>NC_000002.12:193247193-193550224 GCF_000001405.40 Homo sapiens | reverse complement strand
TTTGTATTTTGAGTAGAGACAGGGTTTCACCATGTTGGTCAGGCTGGTCTCGAACTCCTAACCTCAGGAGATCCACCCAGCACTTAGCCTCCTGAAGGGCTGGGATTACAGGCATAAGCCACTGTGCCTGGCCAGTATTCCCTAGTTTCAAACTGAACCTCCATTGCTACAGATAGAATAAAAACAAAAAAAGATGATTTGTAGAATTAAGTTGAAAGCATTTTGACAATATGAAATATGAACATTTCATTTCTTCTGGGGGATAGAAGAAAAAAAATTATGTAAATAATAGCATACTAAGTGTTAAAGAATAAGAAAGTTTTAGTAGGAAGGATATGGAGGTAAAAGACATAAGCATAATGATGCAAGAGGAAGTGAAGATTATGAAATTGTTAAGCCTTCTACAAGTAAGATGCTTGTGATCTAACTTGAAAAATATGATTTAAAGAAGATATTCCTCTTCAACCTCTTGAAACAAGATGTGCTATTTTAATTTTGAACTATGCTTAATTTCCAATATACTAGAAACTGTATATTAAGCAAATCAGTTTTAGGAAGAGTCATACTTTTACTCTCCATCAAAGCTTAGAGCTAATTGTGAGAAATGATACAGACCACCTTTTTTTTTCTTT
Source organism: Homo sapiens (assembly GCF_000001405.40). NCBI lineage: Eukaryota > Metazoa > Chordata > Mammalia > Primates > Hominidae > Homo > Homo sapiens. The sequence goes on along the minus strand of NC_000002.12, from coordinate 193,549,592 downwards.
AATAACCTAACAGACAATATAATGAAAATACTTTAAAATAAGGACATGAAACTTTGTACCAGCCTTGGGAGATATGTATTTTTACATGAATTTGAAGTAGGACAGATTAAATTAACGATTAGAAAATACCTTGCAATTAGTTGTTAGATTGGCAATTTCTAAAAGTATTCTGAAATTAAGAATGCAGCAAAATTATTGAAGTCTTTTCAGTACCATTTGAATACATTTTATATACTGTGAAAGAGAAAAATTCATAAAGTAATTGTATTAATTACAGTGAATATTTTTGCTCTTTTTCCAATGCCAAATTCTTTTAACTTACATGACAAGCATTTAGGGGGAAACTGAAATATTGGTTACATTTACATGGATTTCTAATAATATTTGCATAATTTAAACATAAGTATAAGGCATATATTGACTTGGGGAGAAAGCTCTTTGGCTTCTATTAATTTTTTTGGTATTGATAAAATATATTGATAGATGATTGCAAAATTATGTGTATTACTTTAGTACTTAGGAATGTTTTCACAACCTTTCCCACTAAACTTTCTCTTTTTTTAAAGTTTAAACTTTGCTAAACGTTATCAATTTTGATTTTCTATATAAGGTGCATTTTTAACAAATGTCATAGACAAAATATTGCTTCCTAAATCATTTTTTCTAGGAAAAAATGATGATGACATATAATTCACACACACACAGAGTCCCCCAAAATTTAGAGCTTTAAGTTGAACACTCTCATCCATTAATACAGAACAAACTAAATTTGTGAACACCTGGTAGATAGACGCTTCTCACAGAGGTGAGGAATATCTATTTTTTGATTAGAATTGTGAACTTAAGATAGGTTAACACACAGGAAAATACTACATATCTCCTGAGAAACAGTATCTAGTCTATTAATCTTAAATAATTTTCTTGTTTAATGGCTATCATTTTGGATTGGGTAATAAATTTGGAGGATGTATAGGGTACCATTTAAGATTATCAGCCTGTTAATACTGACAGATACTAAATCCCACATTTAGGGGATTTCCTATTTAAACAATATTATTTCGATAGGAAATTGTTTTGTCTTTCAAAGCAACCTTTTAAGAATTTTGTTATTACATAGGTTTTGGGGGAACAGGTGGGATTTGGTTACATGAGCGAGTTCTTTAGTTAGTGGTGATTTGTGAGATTTTGCTGCATGTATCTCCCAAGCATTATACACTGAAACCAAATTTGTAGTCCTTTATCCCTCACTCCTCTTCTCACCCTTTCCCCCTGAGTCCCCAAGGTCCATTGTTTCATTCTTATGCCTTTGCATCCTCATAGCTTAGTCCCCACTGATGAGTGAGAACATACGATGTTTGGTTTTCCATTCCTGAGTTACTTCACTTAGAATAATAGTCTCCAATCCCATCCAAGCTGCTGTGAATGCTATTAATTCATTCTTTTTAGGGCTTAGTAATATTTCATTGTGTATATATACTACAGTTTCTTTATCCACTTGTTGATTGATGGGTATTAGGGCTGGTTCCACATTTTTGCAATTCAAATTCTGCTGCTATAAACATGTATCAGCAAATATCTTTTTTGTACAATGACTTCTTTTCCTCTGGGTAGATACCTAATAGTGGGATTACTAGTTCTACTTTTAGTTATTTAATGAATCTCCACACTGCTTTGTGGTTGTACTAGTTTACATTCCCACCAGCAGTGTAGAAGTGTTCCCTGTTCACCATGTTCATGCTAACATCTATTTTTCGATTATGGCCGTTCTTGCAGGAGTAAGGTTGTATTGCATTGTGGTTTTGATTTGCATTTCCCTGATCATTAGTGATGTTGAGCATTTTTTCATGTTTGTTGGCCATTTGTATATCTTCTTTTGATAATTGTCTATTCATGTCCTTAGTCCACTTTTGATAGGATTGTTTGTTTTTTTCCTTGCTAATTTGTTTGAGTTCATTGTAGATTCTGGACATTAGTCCTTTGTCAGATGTATAGATGGTGAAGATTTTCTCCCACTCTGTGGGTTTTCTGTTTACTCTGTTGACTGTTCCTTATGCCATGCAAAAGGTTTTTACTTTAATGAAGTCCCAGCTATTTATCTTTGTTTTTATTGCATCTGTTTTTTGGGTTCTTGGTCATGAAATCTTTGCCTAAGCCAATGTCCAGAAGGGTTTTTTCAATTTTATCTTCCAGAATTTTTATAGTTTCCCACTGCATATTTAAGTCCTTGATCCATCTTGAGTTGATTTTTGTATAAGGTGAGAGAGGAAAATCCAGATTCATTCTCCTTCATGTGGTTTGCCAATGATGCCAACAGAATTTGTTGAATAGGGTGTCCTTTCCCTACTTTATGTTTTTGTTTACCTTGTTGAAGAGCAGTTGACTGTAAATATTTAGGTTTATTTCTGGGTTCTCTATTCTGTTCCATTGGTCTATGTGCCTATTTTTATACCAGTACCATGCTGTTTTGGTGACTATGGCCTTATAGTATAGTTGGAAATCATGTAATTGTGATTTGCAATTTGTACAAATTACATTATCTGATTTCCAACTATACTATAAGGCCATAGTCACCAAAACTGTTTGTACCTCCAGATTAGTACTTTTTGCTTAGTCTTGCTTTGGCTATGTGGGCTCTTTGGTGGTTCCACATGAATTTTAGGATGTTTTTTCTAGTTCTGTGAAGAATGATGATGGTATTTTGATGAGAATTGCATTGAATTTGTAGATTACTTTTGGCAATATGGTCATTTTCACAATATTGATTCTATCCATCCCTGAGCATGGGAGGTGTTTCCATTTGTTTGTGTCACCTATGATTTCTTTCATCAGTGCTTTGTAGTTTTTCTTGTAGAGGATCTCTTTCACCTTCTTAGTAAGGTATATCCCTAAGGGTTTTTTTTTTTTTTTTTTTTTTTTTTTACAGCTATTGTAAAAGGAGTTGAGTTTTTTATTTAATTCTCAGTTTGGTCGCTGTGGCTGTATAGGAGAGCTACTGCTTTGTGTGCATTAATTTAGTATCCGGAAACTTTGTTGAATTATTTTATCAGTTCTGGGAGCATTTTGGAGAAGTCTTTAGGATTTTCTAGGTATACAATTATATCATAAGCAAGCAGTGACAGTTTGACTTCCTCTTTACTGACTTGGATGCCCTTTATTTCTTTCTCTTGTCAGATTGCTCTGGCTAGGACTTCCAGTACTATGTCAAGTAGAAGTGGTGAGAGTGGGTATCTTTCTGTTGTTCTGATTCTCAGAGGGAATTATTTCAACTTTTCCCCATTCAGTATTATGTTGGCTGTGGGTTTGTCATAGATGGCTTTTATCACATTGAGGTATGTCCCTTTTATGCCAATTTTGCTGAGAGTTTTCATCAAGAATGCATGCTGGATTTTGTCTAATGTTTTTTCATCAAAAATGGATGCTGGATTTTGTTAAATGCATCTGTTGAGATGATCATGTGATTTTTTTGTTTTTAATTCTGTTTATGTGGTGTATCACATTTATTGACTTTATTCATCCCTGGTATGAAACACACTTGATCATGGTGAATTATCTTTTCGATATCTTGTTGGATTTGCTTAGCTAGTATTTTGTTAAGGACTTTTGCATCTGTGTTCATCAGGGATATTCATCTGTAGCTTTCTTTTTTTGTTATATCCTTTCCTGGTTTTGGTATTAGGGTAATACTGGCTTCATATAATTATTTAGGAAGGATTCCCTCTTTCTCTATCTTGTGGAGTAGTGTCAATAGGATTGGTACCAATTCTTCATTGAATGTCTGGCGGAATTCAGCTGTGAATCCATCTGGTCCTGTACTTTTTTTGTTGTTGGTAATTTTTTAATTAACATTTCAATCTCACTGCTTGTTATTGGTCTGTTCAGGGTATCTAATTCTTCCTGATTTAAGCTAGGAGGGTTTTATCTTTCCAGGAATGTATCCATCTCCTCTAGGTTTTCTAGTTTATGCATGTAAAGGTGTTCATAGTAGCCTTGAATAATCTTGTATTTCTGTGGTGTCAGTTGTAATATCTCCCATTTTGTTTCTTATTGAGCTTATTTGGATTTTCTCTCTTCTTTTCTTGGTTAATCTTGCTAATGATCTCTCAATTTTATTTATCTTTTCAAAGAATCAGATTTTGTTTCATTTATCTTTTGTATTGTTTTGTTGTTGTTGTTGTTTCAATTTCATTTAGTTCTGCTCTGATCTTGGTTATTTCCTTTCTTCTGCTGGGATTGGGTTTGGTTTGTTCTTGTTTCTCTAGTTCCTTGAGGTGTGGCCGTAGATTGTCTATTTGTGCTCTTTCAGACTTTTTGATGTAGGCATTTAGGGCTATGAACTTTTCTCTTAGCAACACCTTTGCTGTATCTCACAGGTGTTAATAGGTTGTGTTACTATTGTCATTCAGTTACAAGAATTTTTAAATTTCCATCTTAATTTCATTGTTGACCCAGTGATTATTCAGGAGCAGGTTATTTAATTTCTATGTATTTGCATAGTTTTGAAGGTTCCTTTTGGAGTTATTTCCAGTTTTATTCCACCTTGATCTAAGACAGTACTTGGTATAATTTCAATTTTCTTAAATTATTGAGACTTCTTTTATGGCCTATCATATGGTCTAACTTGGAGAAAGTTCTATGCACTGTGGAACAGAATGTATATTCTGTGGTTGTTGGGCAGAATGCTCTGTAAATATCTGTTAAGTCCATTTGTTCCAGAGTGTAGTTTAAATCTGTTGTTCCTTTCTTGACTTTCTGTCTTGATGACCTGTCTAGACTGTCAGTGGAGTTTTGAAGTCTCACACTATTATTGTGTAGCTGTCTATCTCATTTCTTAGGTCTAACAGTAATTGTTTTATACATTTGGGAGCTCCAGTGTTAGGTTCATATATATTTTGAATTGTGATATTTTCCTGTTGGACAAGACCTTTTATCATTATATAATGTCCATCTTTGTCGTTTTTAACTGTTGTTGCCTTCAAGTTTGTTTTGTCTGATATAAGAATAGCTACCCCTGTTCGCTTTTGGTGTTGATTTGCATGGAATGTCTTTTTCCACCCCTTTACCTTAAGTTTATATGAGTCCTTATGTTAAGTGGGTCTATTGAAGGCAGGATAGTTGGTTGATGAATTCTCATCCATTCTGCAATTCTGTATCTTCTAAGTGGAGCATTTAGGCCATTTACATTCAACGTTAGTATTGAAATATGAGGTACTATTCCATTCATCATGTTATTTGTTGCCGGTATATATTGTTTTTTAATTGTATTTTTATTTTATAGGTCCTGTGAGATATATGCTCTAAAGAGATTCTGTTTTGATGTGTTTCCAGGATTTGTTTCAAGATTTAGAACTCCTTTTAGCATTTCTTGTAGAGCTGGGTTAGTAGTGGCAAATTCTCTCAGCATTTGTTTGTCTGAAAAAGACTCTATCTTTTCTTCATTTATGAAGCTTAGTTTCACTGGATACAAAATTCTTGGATGATAATTGTTTTGTTTAAGGAGGCTGAATATAGGGCCCCAATCCCTTCAGCCTGTAGGGTTTTCTGCTGAGAAATCTGCTGTTAATATGATAGCTCTGAAGTTCTTTTCTTTATAGCTTATCTGGTGCTTTTGCCTTAAAGCTCTTAAGATTCTTTCTTTCATCTTAACTTTAGATAACCTGATGACAATGTGCGTAGGCAATGATCTTTTTGTGATGAATTTCCCAGGTGTTCTTTGATCTTCTTGTAATTGGATGGCTATGTCTTTAGCAAAGCCAGGGAAGTTTTCCTTGATTATTCCTCAAATATGTTTTCCAAACTTTCAGATTTCTCTTATTCCTCAGGAACACCAGTTATTTTTAGATTTAGTTGTTTAACATAATCCCAGACTTCTTGTAAGCTTTGTTCATTTTTTCTAATTCTTTTTTCTTTGTCTTTGTTGGATTAATTCGAAAACCTTGTCTTTGAGCTCTGAAGTTCTTTCTTCTGCTTATTTGATTCTATTGCTGAGACTTTCCAGAGCATTTTGCATTTCTCTACGTGTGTCTATTATTTCCTAAAGTTTTGATTTTTTTTTATTTATGCTATGTCTTTCAATGAAGACTTTTTATTCTAGTATCACTTTTTGTTTATTTCCTTAAATTGGACTTTAACTTTCTCTGATGCTTCCTTGATTAGCTTAATAACTGACCTTTTGAATTCTTTTTCACGTAAATCAGGAATTTCTTCTTGGTTTTGATCCATTGCTGGTGAGCTAGTGTGATTTTTTGAGGGGATGTTAAAGAACCTTGTTTTTTCATATTACCAGAACTGTTTTTCTGGTTCCTTCTCATTTGGATAGGCTATGTCAGAGGGAAGATCTAGGGTTCAAGGCTGCTGTTCAGATTCTTTTGTCCCAGGGGGTATTCCCTATACATAGTACTCTCCTATTTTTCCTAGGGTTGTGGTTTCCTGAGAGCTGAGCTGTGGTGATTGTTATCTCTTCTGGATCTAGCCACCCAGCAGGTCTACCAGGTGCTGGGCTGGTACTACTGGGTGTCTGCACAGAGTCTTGTGATGTGATGTGAACCATCTGCAGGTCTCTCAGCTTTGTATACAGCACCTGCTCCAGAGGAGGTGGGAAGGGGTGTGAAATGAACGAACTCTGTGAGGATCCTTAGTTTCGGTTGTTTAATGCACTATTTTTATGCTGGTTGGCCTCCTGCCAGGAGGTGGCTTTTTCAAGAGAGCAACAGCTGTGGTAGCATAGGCAGGATCAGGTGGTGGGCAGGGCCCTAGAACTCCCAAGAGGATATGCCCTTTGTCTTCAGCTACCAAGGTGGGTAGGGAAGAACCATCAGGTGGGGGCAGCGCTAGGCATATCTGAGCTCAGACTTTCCTTGGTTCGGTCTTGCTGAGGTTGCTGTGGAGCATAGGGTGTGGTTCCCAGATCAATGGAGTATGTTCCCAGAATGATTATGGCTGCCTGTGATGTGTCATGCAGGTTGTCAGGGAAGTGGAGGAAAGCCAGCAGTCACAGGCCTCACCCAGCTCCCATGTAATGCAAAAGGCTGTTCTCACTCCCACCAAGCCCCCCTCAACAGCACTGAATCTGTTTCCAGGCAGTGGGTGAGCAGGGCTGAGAACTTGCCTCAGGCTACCAGCCTCCCAGCTGCAAAAGTAAGGATGGCCTTCATGAATCCCCACCTGTGGAATCAGCACACTGGTTTCATGCCTTTCTCGATTTCTGGCCAGAATACTTTGCGTTTGGTTGGAATTGTTACAACGTTCAGCTGGAGGTTTCATTCTCCCTGTGGTCTTTTCCCAGTGCCTCTGGCCATCCTCCCCAAGGGCTCCTGTGAGGCAGGGCAGAAATGGCTTGCTAGGGGACCCAGCAAGCCCACAGAGTTTTTCCCACTCCTTCCTCTACCCCTGTATTTCGCTCAGGGGTCTAAATTGACTCTGTGCCAGGTAAGGTCAGAATTTTCTCCCATGATCTAAACCTTCCAGTCCCCCAGTGAAGGTGTGTGTTCAGGGTGGACAATCTCTTTCCCACTTCCACAACTTGGGCACTCACAGTATTTGGGGTGTCTCCTAGGTCCTGCAGGAGCAATTCACTTCCTTCAGAGGGTCAGTGGGTTCTCTTGAATTTCTTAGTTTATTCCTGCAGTAGTTCTGGAGCAAAAGTTCATAATGCGAGTCTCTACACACTGCTCTGTCTGAATGGGAGCTGCAATCTAGTCCTGTCTCCTGTCTGCCATGATCCCCTCCAAAAGCAACTTTATATATATATATACATGGAGAGTGAGAGGACACTTTATGTTTATTCATATATACCTGCTTAAATTAATTTTAAAAGTATTATTAAATGGTAACTATGAATAGGCAGTAAAAAAGTTTTATATAGAAAGTGGTGCTACATTACTTGAATGATAGCTTAGGAAAAAGCTGTGAATTATTAAAATCAACCAACTGGAAAGTATTTGATGTATTATTTTATATCATCGATCCTTTGAAATCTATTTCATTTTCTTTTTGAGTTATTCTAAATTGAAATAGAAAATGTAATATTTGCCTTTGCTTTGAAAAAGATATATGCTTAGTGTATTTTACTGGCACCAAAATTTATATACAAAGTGAAATTTAACTTTTTGAGGTTTTAAATGAATAATACTGATGTTAAAGATGTGTGTGATTATCCTATTTAAACAAAAATTGAAGAAGATACTATAGTTAATTTTATATTGAAAACTACACTTGTTGATGTTTTATTTTACAAAGTGAGAATATTATTCAAAGTTATTATATAGTATAACTGAAAAATATGATAGTTCTGAAAGTAATTACCTGAAGGAAGAAATAGTCCTGAGTTTTTAAACACTAACTATTTTAATAAACTCTTTCTGACAGGCTTCAGAGTGGACCATCTATCTCTCGAAAGTGAAAATAATAAAAACATAAATGTTTGGGTTTTTAAAATCAAAACAGAATTGATCAAAGTAGAAAAAATTAAAGTTGTCTTAAGATCCAGAATAGTTATTAGGTCAGCCAGACTTCATTGCCACCTGAGTATATGTTCAAATCTATCAAGAGAAATAAACTCTCATTCAAAAGATATCTTTGTCAGTCACTTGTGTCTTTGCCTAAGAACATAAAACTTTTTTTTTTTTTTTTTTTTTTTGAGACGGAGTCTCGCTCTGTCGCCCAGGCTGGAGTGCAGTGGCGGGATCTCGGCTCACTGCAAGCTCCGCCTCCCGGGTTCACGCCATTCTCCTGCCTCAGCCTCCCAAGTAGCTGGGACTACAGGCGCCCGCCACTACGCCCGGCTAATTTTTTGTATTTTTAGTAGAGACGGGGTTTCACCGTTTTAGCCAGGATGGTCTCGATCTCCTGACCTCGTGATCCGCCCACCTCGGCCTCCCAAAGTGCTGGGATTACAGGCGTGAGCCACCGCGCCCGGCCCAAGAGAAATAAACTCTCATTCAAAAGATATCTTTGTCAGTCACTTGTGTCTTTGCCTAAGAACATAAAACTTTAAGGCATTGAGGGTAGTTATAATTTCCAGTGTGAGATAGATCATGAAGACTCACCAGGCTAAGATAAGATAGTCTCATTCTATATTCAAATTGTGATTATGGGGAAAATATATTCAGTACCTGTGGCAATATATTTTTAGTGCCAATTAATTAATGTCATTCTTTATATGTCTTTCATGAGTTTGGTTGTCATGAGTCAGCCTCCGAGAGTTAGACTCCATGATAGAGACTGCAACTATTCACAATTGTTCTCCAACTCTTGGTAAACATGTGGATGTACTACAAATCCCAGTCTCTTATCCCCAACATCTAGGGAGGCCATGAGATTGATCTTTGCCAATGAAATGTGAATGGTAGTGAGAAGAGGCATTCCTAGGGCCTTAGGCAGATGTAAGTCAGTGTGTCCTTTCCACACTGCCTTTTTCTAAAAATGCCAGACACACAACACAAATAATATAAGCATTGAACATTTCTATCATAATTTAAAATTTATATAGATATACATGGAAAATTATATAATTATTTCTAATCTGGTGGAATTCCAATAGTAATTTCTCATAGCTCATTATTTTTCTTCACCTATTAAATCAGTTTTTCTTCTCTTTTCATCAGATATTTTTTGAATATGATTTCAGCAACTCTTTATGAATGTTTCTATCTCTATTAAAACATACTTTAAATTGTATAACAATACAGGCCAGGCGTGGTGTCTAATTCCCACCTATAATCCCAGCATTTTGGGAGGCGAAGGCAGGTGGATCACCACCTGAGGTCAAGAGTTCGGGACCAGTCTGTCCAACATGGTGAAATCCCATCTTTATCAAAAATACGAAAACCCTGTCTCTAATAAAAACACAAAAATCAGCTGGGTGTGGTGGTGTATGTCTGTAATCCCAGATACTTAGGAGGCTGAGGCAGGAGAATTGCTTGGACCCAGGAGACGGAGGTTGCAGTGAGCCAAGATTGCACCACTGCACTCCAGCCTAAGTGACAGACCAAGACTCCATCTCAGAAAAAAAAAAAGTATATAACAATACAAAGTCAAATAAAAATTACATAAAATTAAATTTTAATTGCTTATTTAAATAATGTATATAACTTTTGAATACAACCATCCTTGGAGTCTGTTTAAATTTGTTTCATGCATCACTACATATGCCTCATGTATACCTAATATATCATCTTTTTAAAAGCTTTTTAAGCTTTGTTTCATTTTGACTTTAACTCTAGGTTTCAATTCTCTGAATTCAAATGTCCTTTTGATCTCTATTTACATTGCCAGAGCATACATCCACTTGCTTCAGAAGTATTCTGCCAAAAGCCATGTTTATCTGCTGAAATCATTCTTTATTTCAAAATTTTTCTAAGACAGAAGTGCCTTTTTTTCAGGCACTATTACTATGATTTAATGAGAAATACGAATATATTTTTCATGATTTGAGCACTGACATTTTACCACAATTGTTCATTGGGATTTTCCTCACTTAGGTCACACTCTTAAAAATGTCTAAATAATAAAAGTACATGTGCCTTTGAACAAGGCCCAAAAATGAAAAGAAACATTACTTCAAGTTGGTTCATCAAGTAGGTTAACTTTCAATTCATTACATGAAGTAGGTTTAACTTGTCTGTAACCTATCTTCCATAAGAAAACTCTCTATTCTGGCCCTGCCTACAGTCTCTACCTGCCTTTTTGCCTCTTAAGGTCTCAATGTCATTCACCTCAATTTATATCTGACTGAAACACTATGATATTAGAGTTGAAATATAACAATAGATATTTCTTACGAGATATCTAAAATCTTCCAAAATTCAAATATTAAAAAAGAAACTTTCTACAATTATATTTCTATAAGTAGCTAATAACGTTAATAAATATTTCTGAATACCTAATATGCCCAGATTCTATGCTATAAAATAATGGTAATAATAATGGTAAAAAATTTACATCCAAAATAATAGTTCTTTTAATAATGAAAAAGACTATGGAGTTCCACTTTTCTTCAGTCGATATAGGAATAGTAGCATCAGCAAGGCAAGATGAATGTCCAACTCTTCTACCGATGTAAAAATCAAGTAATAGTAATGACACTTCGGGGATTTTGGCTCCACTGGAAAATCTGTATCTTCTTTAACCAGGAAGAGTGTCTCAAGGTTTTTTGAATAACACCATTGGTGAGAATGTAAACTAGTATAACTGCTACGGAAAACAGTATGGAGATTTCTCAAAAAACTAAAATTAGAATTACCATTTGATCTAGCAATCCCACTACTGGGTTATCTTCCCAAAGGAAAAGAAAACAACACATCAAAGGGATACCTGCACTAACATGTTTATTGCAGCATTACTCACAATAGCAAAGATGTGAATCAAGTGTCCATCAATGGATTAATGGATAGAGTAATGTGATATAATGCTATATATTATTTAGCAATAAAAAGAAATGAAATCATGTCATTTGAAGCAACGTAAGTGGAACTGGAGGCCATTATCTTATGTGAAATAAGCCAGGCACAAATAGACAAATATTCCATGCTCTCACTTACATTTGGAAGCTAAAACTTTGAACATATGGAGGGTTGAGAGAGGAAAAATAGATAAAGGAAAATGGGAAGGGTGAGTTGAGATGAAAAAGAGAAGATGAGGAAAAGTGGGTAAAAACACAGTAAGATAGAAGAAATAAATTCAATGTTTGATAGCAGAATAGGGTGACTATACTTAACAAAAATGTATTTTTGTTGGGTGATGGACACGCTAAATCCCTCACTTGCTCACTATACATTATATACATGTAACAAAATCTCACATGCACACCATAAATTTATACAAATAAAAATAAAGATTAAAAAATAAAAGAAATAATATTTTAAATTACTTAACTAATGCTGACTCAGATTTCACAAGTGTGTTTGTAATTTGGATTACCTTTTATATTTACAGAGAAGGAGAATTTGCCAGTTATGAGAGTAAGATTTCAGTCTCTGTAACTATGACAGCCTTATCAGAAATAAATCAGTTGCCATTTTTGTTTTAGGCAACAACTTGGTCATAGTGACTCGCATCCTAAGCAACTTAATTCATGAAAATGAATGGATTTGGGCCACTGTGGGTAAAGTTCTGCTATGTTCTATCAGCTGTGACCAAGATAATGGGGTCACATGGCAAATAGCAGAGTACAGAAAAATGGGCAGAAAGGAGCACACCAGCCTATCTGTAAATATTTATCTTTTCTTCAATTACGACTCACTACATAATGATTGTAGTAATTCTTATTCAATCATTGGTGCTATATTTAAATGATAATCACAGTTTGTGAATAAAATTGATAAAATGATCAATAATCTGGAAGTCCTGTTCAGAGCATTTCCAGGTTGCACTATCTATGGAGGAATTTTAATTGATTGGGATATACCTGCGACTGTTTCTTGTATTCACTAAACCTTGCTAAACAAATAAGAAACTGTTCTCAGATTAGGAAAAATGCCATTAATAAATGTGAGCCAAGAAAAAGCAAAATTAAAGCTCCAACTAATATTTCTGAAGACTCAAAGGTTTTGAAAAATGTTTTGTAACCAAAATTGTATATCATGTCACCATTTGAGGAAAACTCTGTCAGTGATATTTTTAAAATATCACTTGGCTTCTACTAAATCCCATTTTGGGTTAAGCACTGTAATAATTATTATTATTCATTTCCAGAAATGGTTGTCCTTATCTTCCTTGCAATTTCTGTCACTGGAAACTGCTCCGAGGAAAGGGGAGCCATGCTGGAGCCCCAAAACACATAAAAACTGAGATCATAACTGTGTCTTGTCTAAATGTGTGAAGTTTGTGGTAATATTGTTATGCAATAGATAATAGTATTAATAACAATATTAATAGTATTATTAACAAATACCACAGTTTCATGAAAATAATGATTAACAATGTATATCATGGCAGCCATGAAGTGGCTGTCATTAAAATAAAACTTCCCAATCACTGATTTAAATTTGGTGGGTTCTTTATGTTCGATGTTAATGAACCTACTCTCTTATTTGTACATTTGATACATATTTAAATTTTATACAGAGGAGAAATCCTTTACATATAGATTGCAATTCTCAAAGGGTTAAACTACAACACAACATTCTAATTAAAAAATGTATCTTTGGCCTCTATGATGAAGTACTTATTTTTTGGATACTACATCCCTGCATGTAATAGTCTAGTTGTGAACACATTAATGATTCTAATGATTCTAATCTGCTGTGTTTCAATTAATTCAATGTTTATCAGTTTTCCTCTAACAATGCAAGGTAGAATCAAAGAATCAATGATCAGGGCAATTACCACTTCATTATAAAATTTCAGGAGTCGTTAATAATGATGTTCAGCAGTTTTGCATTTTCTAGCTTTTTAAAATTATTTTTTCCATAAACCATGAGAGGAAAATTATTCCTCACTATTCTAAAAATACAGAACCAAGTGTAATTAAATAAGCTAAATGTTTTTGTCTGATAAATGAATGCTCACTCACATAAAAATTATAAATTTCAGCTAACTGTTTAAAGATTCCTCTCGTACCTGATATCTGACTTTAGGCTAGCACTTTAATTTTGACCATAGCGCTTCTGTTTGGCATTAAAATCTTCCAAAAATAGACAGATAAAGCAATGAACTCTTTATGAATTAAACTAATATATCATGCTTAGAATTGTACTTACAGTACTAAAATTTGAAACTCTATTATAAAATTTCATTTTGAAAAAATATATTTGTTATTTAAAACAAACTAATATTCAAAGTTGGGTTTGTATGTCTGTTTGATAACTAAGTTTTATTATTATAGATAAGAAGGGCCTTTGCATTAGTGACCTTAATCAACTCTTCTTAGACCAAAATATGACAGAGAGAGAGAGAGAGAAGGGTGTGTATGTAAGTGTGTATGTGTATTTTTCATTGTCCATTGAAGATAGAACTGCATAGTGTATCAGTGTTGACTGAAAACAACACATAATTATTAATTACAATCTTAATCTTCTTGCTTGGATATTGGTAAACACTTTTTGTGAAGGACAAGTTAGTAAATATTTTCAGCTATGCAGTCTGTATGATCTCTGTTGCTACTCTTCAAATCTGTCATGTAACATGAAAGCAGCCATTAGTTATATGTAAATGGATGACCATACCTGTATTCTAATAAAACTTTACTTACAAAAACAGATGAAGGGCCAGATTTGGCTGAGAGGGCTTTAGTTTGCTGACCTCTGTGCTAAGGGATTTCAAAAGTGTGAGTCTCAATAATTGAAAGACCTATTAGTTTATCTGACCATCCTGATAAAGCAGAATATGATATAAGGTTGAGGGCTGCAGCTGGAATAAAGACAAAAATTAAAGTGTATATTAAAGTTGTGAGGAATTTTTATTTTCCAGGTTGGGAGAAATCCAAGAGAGATCAAAAAAGTGAGTGAACTGAAAACTCTGTGAGAAAAATGTCAGAAAGAAAACCCAACAGTATGACATTGGCAGAAAAAAAATAGAGAGAGTGAGATCAAAATATTGAAGGTGTATTTTTAAAGTCATATGCTATAATGGATTACCCCCATTAGAATCTTTGGTAAAGTCTGCATTGCTCACTTAAATTGCTTCTATGAGTAAGTTTTGAAGACTATAAGAGGGTTGAATTTTAAGGATCAGGTGGAGGCAGCGCAAGAATCAGAAAAAAAGACTGGAAAATAAAGTTTTTAGGTGACTTCCTATTACTGCTTGTTATGAGAGGTCTGAGCAGGAGGCTTCCATGTGTGGGCAAAGGGTAATGTTCCTTAGTAAAACTGAATTTGCTTTTAAAAGCACACACAAAAAAATCACACAGGATTTCTTCTTCTTAGCATTATTTCTCCCAAGAATGACCAATAAAATGCAGCCAAATAAAACCAATTTGTATTGTCTACATTTCCACAAGAATTCTCTGGGGTCCAATAATATTTTATTTTTCTAGCTTTTCCTTTCTTGCTGGCCTCCCCCACAGAGTGAGATGTGGGTGAGTAAAATTCAGGCACACTTTTACTCTTCTTTGCTTTACTCCAAAATTACACTACCAAAATATTTATTATATGATCCTGATTGGCTATTAGCTAGTAACCAAGAGCCAGGAGAGACAAAATGATGTTTCCGTATCTGAAATCAACATTTAATGGATGAGGTTATATACATTCAAATTATGTGTGTGTGTATGTATATTTTTTCTTTGTTTTCTCCATTCTATAAAGAAAAAGTGTTCTGGAAAAGATTTAAAAACCTTCATAACACTGGAAATAAGTAATTTTATTGTGTGACATTCTGTTTTTTATAAGTCAGTTCCATAGATAGAAGTTCGCCTTATCTGAACATATATCTTTGGTTCTAATCCAAAATGAAAAAAAAATGAAAATTTACATCTGGCACAATTGAAACAGGAGACTAAATACTGAACTATAGAAAGTTAAAGTATGACCATAATGAGAAATATCTTTTTTTTTTTTTTTTTTTTTTTTTTTTTTTTTTTTTTTTTTTTTTGAGACGGAGTCTCGCTCTGTCGCCCAGGCTGGAGTGCAGTGGCGGGATCTCGGCTCACTGCAAGCTCCGCCTCCCGGGTTCACGCCATTCTCCTGCCTCAGCCTCCCGAGTAGCTGGGACTACAGGCGCCCGCCACTACGCCCGGCTAATTTTTTGTATTTTTAGTAGAGACGGGGTTTCACCGTTTTAGCCGGGATGGTCTCGATCTCCTGACCTCGTGATCCGCCCGCCTCGGCCTCCCAAAGTGCTGGGATTACAGGCGTGAGCCACCGCGCCCGGCCAATGAGAAATATCTTAAATCAAGTTGTCTTTCCTGTATCTCACTGTTCATCTCTTTTAAACTTTGGCAAACACCAAAGTAGATAACATTTTAGCTTATAATTTCCACCTTATTATCTTTACATCAAACATTGTCATCAGAGTGAAAACATCAAGACCCTTTTTCCTCATAAATTTATTCATATAATTTAATTTCAAGAATCTCCCATAATCCTAATCAACCAAGACTACACTCTTCAGAATATTATTCTGTTCTGTCTTGCAGCCTATAGCAGCCTAAAATTCTCTTCCATTTCCTTGCATCACAGGAACCGTTTCTATAACCTTTACCTGAGATTCTACAGATTTTCAATAGTTATCTATGGAAGAAACATTATTGTGTACATCATTTGAGTATATGGGCTGAATTTTTCAGCCCTTCTGAAGTCAGGTTTTTGCATTGTGATTCAACAAAAAGGGAAAGTATGTTTCTCCACACTTTGTGGCAAGTCTTGTGTCTTGCCCTGTTCAATGGAAAAGGAGCAAACCTGATGTGAGAAGAGGCTTGAAAAAATGTTTGTGTATTTCTACTTCATCTCATGAACAACGAGCCACCATCATGAGAACATGTTCAGAAAACCCTGATGGGAAGATGTGAGAGACATACGGAGGAAAGAGAGCTGTCTGAAATAAAGTCATCCTCACCCCAACAGCTGCCTCTAGCCAATCCACTAGCATTCCTAAAATCATGTAAGATAAGATCAGCTGAATCTAGCACACATCAGCATAATTATATAAACAACCTCTATACTCAAGAAAATCACAAATTTAGGAGCCATGTATTTCTTGAAAATAATGGAATAAAATATTTATAGCACAATGGGTAAAGGATGTGCCTCACATTTCATAAAGACTAATTATTTTGTGCTAAAAAGGAAGGGGGCAAAGTATAACATCTGTTCTACCTTTGTCATGTGTTAAATTTAATTCATAACATCTGTCCTTTCTATCCAAAACTGATGATTTGGGAGTACAAATGTGATAAACACAAGATACTTCTTAGTATTAAATTTGTTTATTTTGTTTTAATAATTTGATATTCATATGTACGGTTTTCCAGGTAAACTATATTCTGCAATCACCATGGTTAATATTTGACTTAAAAAATAATGATAAAGGATATTTCTAAAGACCACAGAAATAGCCCCTTCTTAAGTCTTCCAACCGTTTCTTAACTTTTGCCAACTAATATACATGAGCTATCTCCTGACTTCTACTTTTTCCTCTCCATCCCTGATGCTTCTTAACCCAGCATTACCTAACAGTTCTAATCAAACCAACTGCCAACTAAATAACTCCAGGCCCTTTTGATTTATGTTTTCTGTGTATATTTGCAGTACTTCTTTATGCTCTGGTATGTACTAAACATACCCAAAAAAGTAAGCTCATTTAGCCCTCTTGATAAAAATTGAACTATATACTTTACTTCTGGAGAAACATAATTAAGTCACTCCTTCAAAGCTTAATTCTCCTAATCTGTCAACTGGCAAATTTTATTAACACTAGTTATGTCACTCTGTGATACTGAAGTGAGACTAAAGTACAAAAGTACCTTTTAAAAATGTTTTAAGTTCTAAAAAACCATATAAATAATAAAAGCTGCACTATAATGAAAACAAAACCCTCCTAAAAAATCTCTGTAATACCATAAATTATAAATTAATGATTGTGGTTGTAATAATTTGAAATAGGTTAAACAGTAAGTTGGCGAGTTTTTATTGATGTTGTGAATACATTTATCAAAATGAGTGGATACAGATTTATTTAGTCAGGTAAATTCATTCAACCAGACTTCACAGTTTCAATTTTCTTACCCATCACCTTTAGATCAGAAGGGTCATCCATTAAAAGGAAAAATAACTAAAGGACTAGAAGGCATTTGACAAATACTAAGTAAATAAAATAAAATGACCGCTACCAAATTAGTAAATATAAGGGATGCAGCCTAGCATAGAAATAAAAGTCAAAGTTTTGAGAATTTATATTGAGTTCTGTCCATGGGTTACCTTGCAACATAAAGAAAAAGAATTTTCCATCTTCTTCTTTCTTTATTATATCCCTTTGCAAAGGTAATGTATCATTTACCACACAGATACCTTAATATCACAGAACTTCCTTAAAAGAATGATGGTGTGAACCACAATAAAGTGTGATCACCTAAAATAATATCACTTAAAAACTTTAGTAAAGGAAAGACAGTAAAAGTAAACCAAAACTTTTAAATTCTTACCAAGTTTTAAAAAAATTTCCAAAACAGACTGTGATAAGTTTTATGAATGGGATTTGTTACTTAGTGTTTATTGATTGTCCATACAGTGGAAAATGATATGCCTGAAATATTCATGTTGTATAATAAAATTTCATTACTATCTCTAAACACAAATAAAAATTTTTCAAAGGAGTATTCACATAAGCACAAACATTGAATTTTGTTTTATTGTGTCTACATCGTGTTTATGTATGTTTCTTTAAAAATGCAGAATAAAAGAAAATGATAAATTGCACAGGTCTAAGACATAGGGATCATTTAAGGTAGGCCAACGGTGAAAAAACACACTTGTTTTCTACAAAGCATTTTTCTTCTCTTAATTTCTAAACTTTTTAAATATTTCAGAAACTCTAAAGGTATTTAAGTAATGTGAAAAAAAAATCAAGCTAGCTTAATGGAGTAATAACAAAATATCTGTTCAATTAAAACACTGGCCATACTGCCCAAGGTAATTTATAGATTCAATGCCATCCCCATCAAGCTACCAATGACTTTCTTCACAGAATTGGAAAAAATCACTTTAAAGTTCATATGGAACCAAAAAAGAGCCTACATAGCCAAGACAATCCTAAGCAAAAAGAACAAACCTGGAGGCATCATGCTACCTGACTTCAAACAATGCTACAAGGCTACAGTAACCAAAACAGCATGGTAATGGTACCAAAACAGAGATATAGACCAATGGAACAGAACACAGGCCTCAGAAATAACACCACACATCTACAACCATCTGATCTTTGACAAACAAAAACAAGAAATGGGGAAAGGATTCCCTATTTAATAAATGGTGCTGGGAAAACTGGCTAGCCATATATAGAAAACTGAAGCTGGATCCCTTCCTTACACCTTATACAAAAATTAATTCGAGATGGATTAAAGACTTAAATGTTAGACCTAAAACCATAAAAACCCTAGAAGAAAACCTAGGCAATACCATTCAGGACATAGGCATGGGCAAAGACTTCATGACTAAAACACCAAAAGCAATGGCAACAAAAGCCAAAATTGACAAATGGGATCTAATTAAACTAAAGAGCTTCTGCACAGCAAAAGAAATTACCATCAGAGTGAACAGGCAACCCACAGAATGGGAGAAAATTTTTGCAATCTACCCATCTGACAAAGGGCTAATATCCAGAATCTACAAAGAACTTAAACAAATTTACAAGAAAAAAAAAACCCATCAAAAAGTGGGCAAAGGATAAGAACAGATACTTCTCAAAAGAAGCTATTTATGCAGCCAACAGACACATGAAAAAATGTTCATCATTGCTGGTCATCAGAGAAATACAAATCAAAACCACAATGAGATACCCATCTCACGCCAGTTAGAATAGTGATCATTAAAAAGTCAGGAAACAACAGGTGCTGGAGAGGATATGGACAAATAGGAAGGCTTTTACACTGTTGGTGGGAGTGTAAATTAGTTCAACCATTGTGGAAGACAGTGTGGTGATTCCTCAATGATCTAGAACCAGAAATACCATTTGACCCAGCAATCGCATTACTGGGTATATACCCAAAGGATTATAAATCATTCCACTATAAAGACACATGCACATGTATGTTTATTGCGGCACTATTCACAACAGCAAAGACTTGGAACCAACCCAAATATCCATCAATGATAGACTGGATTAAGAAAATGTGGCACATATATACTATGGAATAATACACAGCCATAAAAAACGATGAGTTCATGTCCTTTGCAGGGAAATGAATGAAGCTGGAAACCATCATTCTAAGCAAACTATCACAAGGACAGAAAACCAAACACCACATGTTCTCACTCATAGATGGAAACTGAACAATGAGAACACTTGGACACAGGGCGGGGAACATTACACACCGGGGCCTGTCAGGGGGTAGGGGGCTGGGGGAGGGATAGCATTAGGATAAATGCCTAATGTAAATGACAAGTTGATGGGTGCAGCAAACCAACATGGCACACGTATACCTATGTAATAAACCTGCACGTTGTGCACATGTACCCTAGAACTTAAAGTATAATAAAAAATAAATAAATACATAAATAAAAAATAAAAATACAGGAAAAAAAATCACAATGTTAAAAAAAAAAAAAAGAAAGGTAATTCTCTGGCTAGGTGTGGTAGCTCACACCTGTAATCCCAGTACTTTGGGAAGCTGAGGGGTGTGGATCACCTGAGGTCAGGAGTTTGAGACCAGCCTGGCCAACATAGTGAAAACATGTCCCTATTAAAAATACAAAAATTTGCCAGGCGTGGTGGCGTGCACCTGTAATCCTGTAATCCCAGCTACTTGGGAGGCTGAGGCAGGAGAATTGCTTGAATTTGGGAGGTGGAGGTTGCAGTGAGCCAAGATCATGCCACTGCACTCCAGCCTGGGTGACAGAGCAAGACTCTGTCTCAAAAAAAAAAAAAAAAAAAGGAAAAAAGAAAAAATAAATTCTTTCTAAGAAACATCTTCAATTTATTGTTGGTTTTGTTCTCGAGTCAGTGTATGTGTGTGCATTGGGAGGAAAAGGATCAGAGAAAAAAAGAAAAAGAAAGATTTATTTTAGTTCTGAGATTCTCCAAATTTATGAAATTGACAGTCTGGATAAGAACCACTATGGCCAATTCAAACTGAAACTCCCTTGACCCCTTCATCCCACCCATTGCTTATCACCTCCTACTTCCTTAAGACTAACTAGAGAGAGAAGACAGTGCAAAATAGCACCATTCTTATAAAAATATGCTGGCATATCACTTTTTTTGTGCATGAGACAATTGCACAAAAGTGTACATAGGTCAAGGAATCATCACAAAGTAACCACTATGTAACCACCAGTCAGATCAAGAAACAGGATGTTGACCTTTTATCTTATTGCTTCTTTCCTTTCCTACCTTTCATACAGCCTGAGCCTTAGATTCGGCACAATACTCAAAATATACTACTGAATTGCATCTGTTTTTTTCTCTATGGGACATTTTACATTGTATACCCATTTCTTTTTTTAATTTTTTTTCAATAGAGACAGGGGTTTCACTATTTTGCCCAGGCTGGTCTCGAACTCCTGAGCTCAAGCAATCCACCCACCTCAGCCTCCCAAAATGCTGGGATTACAGGTGTGAGCTACCATGCCCAGCCCATTGTATACTCATTTCTTAAGCATCAGCTCTAAGCCAACTCCTTCTAACCATGCATAAGTATCTAAAACCAATGTGACCACTTGTATTAAAAAAAATAAAAATAGTGATATTCTATGACAAAAAGGGATGATATGGAATAATCTCCAATACACTGCTAATTTCTGAAAATTAGGCAAAGGAGGTAAGTCTGAATGAATCTAGCAGTTAAGAACTCTCAAAATGAATGCACGCAGTTGAGTCTATGAGTGTTGGAGGCCTACTGGTGTAGCTGAGAGTTCTCTAAATTAACTTACTTGTAGAATACAATTTTTGCTAAAGCATAGGTGATAAAAATGTGCTAATTTAAGGCCAGTTTAATCATATACATGTATATATGAGATTAAAATTGAGGGAAGGGGAATTTGGTAGGGTAAATAAAAAAGAACTGACATACCTTAAAAAAAATTGAGTTCTTTAGGCATTTTTATTTTTACTTTTGGAGTACTCATTAGTCTCTATAATATTAAAAAGAATTGTGTATTTTCCAGCTTATTCTTGTACATTTTTCAGTTTCAAATGGAAAAGAGACATGCCCAACATTAGTATTACTTAACTTTAACTCTTCCAATAGTTCTATGTGAGCTTTGGGTGAGTTGACTTTTTGTTTTTAACTGTAAAGAATTATCAACTAGCATGTTCCAATAATTTTACTTTTTACTATTTATTCATTTAAGCAGTTTTTTTGGCGTGTCATATTTTATTTCTAGTCACTACCAGCTGCAAAAATACTTGCTTCTTATGATAATCATAAAATGAACTGCTAAAGAAATGGGAAATGATATTGTTTCTTTCTGATTCTGATCTCCCATCAACAATTTACAATTTCAGAGCAGTATTAGCTCAATATAGAAAGAAACAGCTGCTTAATGTACCTTAATTGTTAGGCAATATCTCATTTTCTCTAGATAGCAAATTCAGCAGATTCTGGGGAGCACGTGTTTATTGTTCTTCCACTGCTCACAGGAAACCATGCTCTATGCTTTACTCTCCTAAGACAAAGGTTCCAGAGACTCGTGCTTTGCAAGTAAAAAACACAACCAGAGACTTTCCCCATCACTGGCATTAGTCATTAGTTTGATCACATTGTGACAGACGACCTGGATTCAATCAACTGGAAAAAAGAAAAAATTCTAGTTGACCTTGTAACACCACTGCTTTCAATGTATGATAATGATTTAAATAGCAATAGAGAAAGTTGCCCTTATCACATATCTATAAATGTGTGTCTGTGCCACTCACAGTCTATTCTTAGTGTAATAGGGACTTTATCAAGCTTTAAAATCCGCTGAAATGACTAACACACTACATTGATAAACGCAACAACAGAAAACTCATCAATGTTTCAAAACTACCTTTGTTCTTCTCTACAGGTGACAATATCTTGTGATGTGAGAGGTGAACACTGTTAGGGAAGGGTTGAAGAAATGGTTATGATGCATCTCTTTATTATTTAATCCATGGTTAAATTTGATTTGCTAATGTTTTAAGATCTTTATCTGTGTTAATAAATAATATTGTTATATAATTTTCTTTTCTCATATTGTCCTTGTCAGTTTTGGTACCAGAATTATAAAATGAGTTGCATAATAATAATCTCTCTTTTTATTTTCTCTAGAATAACTCTGTAAAATTGCAATGATCTGTTTCATGAATTTTTGGTAGTAAGCACCCTTAAAACAATTACATTTTTTTGGTGTGCAACTGTTTAAATGCTTAATAAAACAGGTTAATGGTTTCAGGGCTGACTGATATTTTCAATTTGTGCTTAAGTAAATTTTGGCAAATCATTTTCCTACAAATTTACTCATTGTATTTGACATTTTACATATATTAGCAAACATTTGTTGATATCCTAGATAACTTTATACCTATTCCATGTTTTTCTTTCATTATTAATTTGTCTCTATTTGGCTTTTAAGTTTGTATTTTTAAATATTGTTTTAAATATTCTAGGTCTTTGGCATTTCCATATAAATTGTGAAATCAACTTGTCAATTCTTAAGGTAAGCTTGTTTGAGTTTTAATGGGATTGTGCTAAATCTATAGAAAAACTTGAGGGGAGCCAAATTCCTATAAACATGGAGTCTTCTTATGTACACATGTAGTTATATTTATCTTAGCAAAGATTTAAAGTTGGCACTCTACACATCTCTAAGTCAACAGATCATGGAAACTCAACAAAACCTAAACAAGATAAACACAGACAACACGAAATACAAAAAAAAAATTCACAAAAAATACAACAGAGTTAAGCAACTGCATAGCTTAGAGGGGACAGTCTATAGACCACCCTCGTTTATGACATCAATTTCAAGGTAAGCAGGATTCTCAAAATCACTCTGAGTTTCAATAATCTGCTAGAAGGAATCACAGAACTCACTAAAAGCTGCTATACTCACGTTTATAGCTTATTAAAAGGAAACAATGCAGACTAAAATTAGCCAGGGAAAGAAGCACACAGAAAAGAGTCCAGAAGAGTTTTAAATGTGGAGCTTCCAATTTTCCTCACCTTATAGCGTCAAAACGACATTACTTTCCTGGCATCAAGGTGTGGCAATATGCATGGAATATGGCAACCAGGAAAACTCACCAAAATTTCAGTGTCTCAAGTTTTCCTTGGGGGCTTCATCATATAGTCGTGACTGATTGCCCACGTGGTTGTTCTCAGTTTCTAGCCACTCTTTAGATCAATGGATAGAATATGACTGATTGTCCCTATTCTAAAGTTATTGTTGTTCTTTCTGGAATGGTTACCCACTCATCCAACCTCCCCCATCATCTCCCCAACTCCTAGATACACTGCGGCCAGCTTCAATGCTAAATCATATTGTTAAACTGTCTGGTGACTCAAGACCCACAGGGAAATAACCACATTCTTATAAGGCGAAGACCAGACCTCTTTTGGGCAAGATTAAATTCTTTCATAAGAAGTACATCATAATCAATTTATTTTAGAGAAATCAGGATTGATTTTTTTTTTTTTACTTATATTAAGTTCAGGGGCACAAGTGCAGGTTTGTTACATAGGAAAACTTGCATCATTGGGGTTTGTTAAACAGGTTACCTTATCACCCAGGTATTAAGCCTAGTACCCATTAGTTATTTTTCCTGATCCTCTCTCTCCTCCTACCCTTCACCCTTCAAAAGGCTCCAGCATGTGTTATTCTCCTCTCTGTGTCCATGTGTTCCCATCATTTAGCTCCCACTTATAGGTGAGAACCTGTGGTATTTGGTTCTCTCTTCTGGTGTTAGTCTGCTAAGGATAATGGCCTCCAGCTCCACCCATTTTGCTGCAAACGACATGATCTCATTCTTTCTTGGGACTGCATAGTATTTAATGGTGCATATGTGCCACATTTTCTTTTTCTAGTCTATCATTGTTGAGCATTTAGATTGATTCCATGTCTTTGCTATTTCGAATAGTGCTGCAATGAACATCCTCATTCAAGGAATAGAATGATTTACATTCCATTGGGCATATATCCAGTAACAGGATTGCCAGGTCAAATGATATTTCTGCTTTTAGATCTTCGAACAATCACAACACTGTCTTCCACAATGACTGAACTAATTTACACTCCCACCAACGGTGTATAGGTGTTTCTTTTTCTCCATAACCTTGCCAGCATCTGTTATTTTTTGACTTTTAAATAACAGCCATTCTACTGTGAGATGGTATCTCACTGTGGTTTTGATTTGCATTTCTCTAATGATCAGTGATGTTGAGCTTTTTTCATATGCATAATCAAAATTTTTAACATGAATGATTATCAGAAAAATCTTTGAAGCAGTAAGGGAAAATAAATACTTTGTAAATAAAGTATTTATTGAAATAAACCATAACTCTGTGTTCACGTATTACCTATTGCTACTTTCGTACTAAGGAACTAAACAAGGGAAATAGAAAAGAGACACATTCTGCCAAACCTAACTCAAGAAGAATTTTTTTTTAAAATGTGGTGGTATGAGATCTTTCAAAATAAGCAAAGATCTCTTAAAACAGAGAAAACAATAATCTAAAAAAAAGTTCAGCTTTATCAAAATTTTTAAAATAGCTCTTTGAAAATCACTGTTAAAAATAGTCAATCAACAAACTGAGAAAATAGTTTCAAGCATGTGATAAAGAACTTGTACCCAAATATACAAACAACCATCACAACTTAAAAGTTAAAAGATATATGACTAATAAAAAGTTGGCAACATTGTGAAGGAGATATTACACAAAGAAAAATGCAAGAAAAGCCAAAAAACACAAGAAAAAGAGCCCAATGTCATCTGTTTTCAAGGAAATGAAAATTTAAAACTTATTAACATTGAATTTCATACCCACTTGAATGGCTATAATTGCACAGGTTTACACCAATTTTCCTAATAATGCTGACAAGCTGGCACTCACATACATTGCTAATGGAAGTGTAAATTGTACAATCACTTAGGAAAAACTCCTGGCAGTACATTATAATGTTAAATAAGACTCAATATGACCTAGCAGTTGTACTTCCAGACACTCATCAAGAAAATATGTCCACAAAATGACTTGTATACCCATAGTCACAGCAAATTTATTCATAGCTTCCTCACACTGGCACAAAGCAAATATTCGTGAGGAGGAAAATATATAAACATATTTAGTTATATAACATTCTATAGAATACTAAATATCCTATATTATATTAATTAAATATTATTTAACAACAAGAAGACAGAAAGTACTACTGATATATACAAAAGCATGGATGGAAATCAGAGGTATTATATCATCATATTGAGGAAAAGAAGTGGGGCATGCTGTGTAATACTGTGTAATTCCACTTATATGAAGTTGTAGTACTGATAAAACTAATGTATGATCAAAATTTCCTAAAAAGATACTATATCTAGGGGGTAATTGAATGGGGAGGGGCAGGAGAAAGCTTTCCGGAACTTTACGAATGTTTTGTATATTAATAGGAATCACGCTGTGCAGATATATGCATTTGTTTAAATTAATCAAATAGAATGTTTCAAGATTTTGGTATCTTACAGAATGTAAATTTTACCTAAACAAAATATAATCTATAAACATATTTAATTATAAACAATAAAGGTGCTTTTCATAGTGCTAGGGACTAGAATTTCTGAAACCGCTTTCTGTGTATTTTAGTCTTGAACAATAGAGAAACTATATTGAAGATAACAGGAGCACAATTTCTCTATCTTTCCTCAAACAAATATATATATATATACACACACAAAACTATATATTTGTTATATAATATATATTATATATTATTATATATTATATATTATATGTTATATATTATAATATTTATTATATGTTATATAATATATATTATTATATGTTATATATTATAATATAATATATATTATCTTACAATATATTTATATTTATATAATATATAATATATAATATATATTATATTATATATTATTTTATATATTATTTATATTATTTATATAATATATAATATAATATATTATATAATATATTATATTTATATAATTATAATACATATTTATGTAATAATAATATATTATATTTATGTAATAATAATATATATTTATATAACATATATATACTATATTATATATATATTTCTTTTTGTGAGACAGTGTCTCGCTCTGTCACCCAGGCTGGAGTGCAGAGGCTCCCTGCAACCTCCGCCTCCTGGGTTCAAGCGATTCTCCCACCTCAGCTTCCTGAGTAGTTGGGATTACAAGTACGTGCAATCACACCCAGCTAATTTTTGTATTTTTAGTAGAGACGGGGTTTCACTAAACCCCTGTTGGTCAGGCTCTTCTCGAACTCTTGACTTCGTGATCTGCCCGCCTCGGCCTCCCAAAGTGCTGGCATTACAGGTGTCAGCCACCTTATACAAGATTTCTGTGAGCCTTGAATGTCTTTCCTGAAATCTCTCCTTCCCTTTTCTTACTTTGTTAGTTTTCTTTTCTGATATATCAATGCCATCTATCCTAACTCTCCCTTGAGTTATATAATATCAAAGCCTCTAACTCTATAATGGACAAAAAGTAAATTATTATATATTCTCATTTAATTGTAAGTTATTATAAGCACCTGTTTATTTAATTTGTCTTTCCAATATTCTGTGGGCTTCTGAAAGTCTAGATCTTTTGCTTTTCTTTTTCTTTCTTTTCCCTTTCTTAATTGAATATTCACCATTTTTTACTTTGTACTTAAGTCGCAAATTCTCTTCAAATCACAAATAATATAAACAGAAACCAATATCTTAGGTAATTATATAACTATTTTTCTTCAGTATGTTATATAATGTATTTTTCCAGCATTTATTTAGAAATAAAGTGCCTGTTTTCCACACACACACACACACACACAAACATACACACACACCCCCTTGCCCCACCCCTGCCAAACACACTTATGCACATAGCGTCTCTCTAGCTCACAAAATTAGTTTTGAGAGTTAACAAATATCTATGTCCACATGTTGGGCTCAAACATATTCAGAGTCCATTTAAGCGAGAATTTCTTATGCCTCTTGTTGTTACATTTATCAAATGAAAACAAATCTGAACTTTGGACTTAGAGAGACTTTATTCTAAAGGATTACTGCAATAAGGGAATGGCAGCTATTGCATTAGGGGAGGTGGACTGTTGCAACAGGACCCCCCAACCTCCAACTGTGAGACTAGTAAGTGTTTCAAAGGTCAGACAGAGAAAACAGGCTAAAAAGAATCCTACTGTGGGAGTGGGTGGGTGGTGTGATCAAATTATTGACCAGAAAATGTCTTTGTAGTCAGCCAATTCTTAGGAGGGGCTTTAGAGAGGGGTTGTTTTACATTCTGATGCTGGCTTAGATTAAGAGTCGTCAAGTTCAGGGGCCGGGGGGGAGATAAGACTAAGTAAGAGTTGGTCAAAGTCAAGTTAACAGATATTTTGTCCAGATTGAGTTAAGGGGAATAAACAGATCAGCTAATTATTTGTAAGACAAAGAATGGTATTTTCCAGGATGTGTGTCTGGCCTTTTCATACATAAAAAAGGGACATGAGTAAATGCTATCTAAGTCATTTGAAGAGAGCTGGTTCTTTGTGGTAAGCCATTGTATGGAAGACAAAAAGTTTCGGGTGAGAAGTTTCCTCTCTTAACTACTGCTACTTTCCAGAAACACGTGGCTTGGGTTAAGTTTAATATTGTCACAGTTCCAATAATTTGTTTAAACCAAAAATACCCAAGTAATTTTGTCAACATTACCCAAGGTAATATTTTTCATAACAAATATTATTTTTTAACTTAAAACAATAATTGAAAGCATATTTCAAGATTCCTATTCTTAACCTCATATTAAAGAACGTTTATGGGAGGCCATTGTTTTAGACTAGCTTCTCGCACTAGGCTTCAGTAGACTAGACTGAACCTGAGGACTATCACTTGTGCTACATGCCAAGTAATCAAACTGAACTTTGAAATGGATCAATTAAAACAGGAGATTCCAATCAACCTGAGTCAGTGTAATAAGGAAATCCCCATTGTTTTAATACTAAGAGAAAAGTAACTATAACAGACAAATTGGCATTTTGTTCTCTGTCTCTCTTTTTTGCAGCTATTTTCCGCCTGTAAAGCCAACTTCTGTTCAGCTCATTGGAATACTTGTTCTATTTTATGGAGTGAGATGTTGCCCAATTCTGGAATCACAAATAAAAGCCAATTAAGATTCTTTAAAACTAAATTTGTTGCAATTTTGTATTTTGACTCAAAATGCTTTCACAAACATATGGCAGTTTTTGAAAATAAAGTCTGTCATTGGCTGTATAAAGGTATGCTGATGTGCAGGCATGTTTTAGATATGAGAAAGAATATAAGTACTTAGGAAATAATGTACGTATAGCAGATGGTTTTTTTAAGTAGGTGATTTCTGAAAGATTTTGGGGGTTTAAAATCCAAACCTATAGAAAATGGGTTTCACTTTTCAAAACATCATAAATGAGCACCATCTGTTACCTGTTAGTTTGTCATTATCAATATACAGATCGATATTAACTTTATTAGAGTATTATTACACTGTAAACTGCATAGAGGTTATAGTGAATAACATTTATATCTAAATACTAAAAAATGACATAACTGATTGATAAACACAGTAAGATTTCTAATAGGAAAACAATAAAAATGAAGAGGAACACTGACCCAAAACAAACAGATAGATGGGGACAGATA
Organism: Homo sapiens; assembly: GCF_000001405.40. Taxonomy (NCBI): domain Eukaryota; kingdom Metazoa; phylum Chordata; class Mammalia; order Primates; family Hominidae; genus Homo; species Homo sapiens. The sequence continues at coordinate 193,520,130 of NC_000002.12, read as the reverse complement.
GATGGAAACACTTTTTTAAACATACTGAAATATCCAACCTAGATTGAACAGTTTTCCTAAAAATTCTTAAATAAGGTGATTATTTCAGTAAGTTTAGGCACCCAAAGAAACATGTTGCCAAATAAATGGATCACCTTTAAATCATTTGAACATATTTTGAAACAGTTTTAAAATAAATTGTCAAATTACAAACAGAATACTACTTTCAACTATTAAAACTTTTCTAAAGACCCTAAATTTCAAACTAGATGACCAAATGCTATAGCAATGCTTTTCATTACCTATATTTCATATGCTGAAAAGGTAATAGTGGAAAGCAATTTAGGAGATAATGATCATGATTTGGAAGGGAATGAAAAAACCAAGAAAATGGACTTTAAAAACCTATGCATCAGCAAGCTCATACAAGTAGTAAGAAAGAACACATTGACAGAAGTCTATAGCAAAATTGGAAACTGCCAGTTTCTAAGAGGTAATAATAAGGGCAAAGACATAAACTATACCTATGGAAATAAAATATAAAAGAGTCACTTGGTAGATTATTTGAATAAAGTGTGAACTTTTTAAAGATTAGTTATGGGGACATCTCAAAGATAAGTAGGCAAGTATAGTTCAAGAATATGTGGACAGCATCAGGAGGACCAAAGTCAAAATAAGTTGCAGCTAATACAGAATCTTTACTATTAAAAAGAAAATAAATAAAAGTTCAATCAGACATGGAGAGACAGGTTATCATCTATGGTGATGGAAAAAAAAAAAAAAAAAACCTGGTCCATGACCATCCACCCTGAATTCACTCGATCTCGCCTAGTCTCAGAAAAAGAAAAAAAAAGACCTGCAATTATAAAATAAATAACTAAGCTAAAATTCTCATTTTATTAGTTGTTTTACCCTTTCTCTTTACTAAAATTTTATTATGTATAGTATCAGATATGTTGACCTAGAAGAAAAAAAGCTGGCCGGGTGCGGTGGCTCACGCCTGTAATCCCAGAACTTTAGGAGGGCAAGGTGGGAGGATGATCTGAAGTTGGGAGTTCAAGACCAACCTGACCAACATGGAGAAAACCCATCTCTACCAAAAATACAAAATTAGCTGGGCATGCTGGTGCATGCCTGTAATCTCAGCTACTCGGGAGGCTGAGGCAGGAGAATCGCTTGAATCTGGGAGGTGGAGTTTGCGGTGAGCCAAGATCGTGCCGTTGCACTCCAGCCTGGGCAACAAGAGCAAAACTCTGTCTCAAAAAAAAAAAAAAAAAGAAAGAAAAGAAAGAAAAGAAAAGAAAAGAAAAGAAAAGAAAAGAAAAAATGCTGAGGCAAAAGTAATACGGTAAAGAATTTATTGAGACCAAGCTTGAAGATTGTGTCAGCTGAACAATGATGAGGACCGTAAATCTGGAAAAGAGAGTTTTGTTTCTCATAAAGGATTGCAGCCTGCAGGCTAGCCATCCAGCAGGCTGGGAAACACAGCCTCTGTAGACACCAAGAGCAAGCACTTCAAGAGAGGGAAGGAAAAGACAGGAATTTATGCTGAACGAGTTGGCTAAGTATACATATTCAATAAGCTATAGAAGAAGTCATGAATATTTATGAAAGTGGAAACGTGCTGGCAATTGAGCTTCATGCCTCTTCGAGGGTTACATGTTCAAAAACTGGCAGCATTAGCAGAATTCAAGGGTGGAATTTTCAGCCCTCTGACATCAAAAGGTGATGTAGAGGACACAAAATTTCTCACTGCACTTGCTCTTTGAACCAGCCAAAGCCAGTCCTGAGATGGTGGTCAGTTTTTAGGAAGGGTGTCTTGTGAAACTGGTGAGCTGTCACATCCAAACTGCAAAGAAGGAGAGGGGATCTGGTCTCAGCCTTAGATGATTGGTTTAAAGTGATGAAGGAACGAGTCATCCATTTCTTGTTTTCCAAAGGTGGTTTCTGCTTACTCCTTAAGAAAGAACTCTGGTTAAAGGTTATTAAGAAAGGGGCATACCAAAGTATGACCAATATATCCTGTCATGGCCATGAACTCTGTTTTTAAGGTTTTTCTGGGATCTCCTTGACCAAGAGACATTCCATCCAGTTAGTTGGGGGACTTATAATTTATTTTTATTTCTCAATTGCAACTCAGGAGTATAAACTCAAGTAGCCCTGAATATACATTCTAATTACAGCAGTTGAATGTAGGTTTTAACAGTAAAAGAAGAGGCAGTTCCTAAGTTATTTACCAAGAATTTATATTACAATACCATAAGCTAATGATTGACTATACATATTTTTGGTATCACAAATTCCAGGATTATGAAGAAAATGGGTGAGGCAACTAAACAGAAACAAAACGTCTTTAAACAGTTGATCCCAGGCTTGTGTGTGGGAGGTGTGGCTGAAGTCCCATACTCTTATCTCTCTGGACCTCATGCATTTTTTACACCTCACAGAACACAGACTGCTCTGAGCTGTTTTTCTTTTTTCAGGTATAGGAAAAATACCTTTTACAAAGGAGGTATTCAATAACATATTTATCATCATTTGCTCTACAAAGAAATTGAGGGCTCACGTCATGTGTGGTAAATTTAAGCACTAATTTTTAGAACATTAAATGCTTTATGCAAAACTAAGATGTGTGCTCGGATAGTGATATGGTTCGGCTGTGTCCCCACCCAAATCTCTTCTTGAATTGTAGCTCCCATAATTCCCATGTGTTGTGGGAGGAACCCAGTGGGAGATCATTGAATCATGGGGGCAGTTTCCCTCATACTGTTCTCATGGTAGTAAGTCTCATGAGATCTTAGGGGAAACCCTTTTTGCTTGATTCTTGTTCTCTCTTGCCTGCCACCATATAAGATGTGCCTTTCACCTTCCACCATGATTGTGAGGCCTCCCCAGCCACATGGAACTGTGAGTCCATTAAACCTCTTTTTCTTTATAAATTTACCCAATATCTGCTGTCTTTATCAGCAGCATGCAAATGAACTAATACATATAGGTAGAGAATAAAATTAAAACTTACTTAAAAATTACTTCTTAGAAGTAAGATGCTGTGTGTGATAATGAACATTTTAGTTTTAATTAAACAAAAACAATTAATAAATGGCATTTAGCATTCTATCTATTTAATGTGTAAGGTTAAGGTGTAAGAGAGAGCAAACATGCTAAGCTTGTTAATGTACAATTCATATATTTTTCCTTCCGTGTCTAGCCAACTTTATAAATTCTGAGGACTACTGACATATAAGCAGCAAAGGATCTGGTAATCAATTAGCAAGACAATTGGCCCTTAGATAATTAAATAGTTGTCCTTAAGAGAAAACTAAGCATTGAACATATAGTTCATAATAAAGGTAAAAACGACAAATAAGAGATAATACCAAGGAAACTGTTTTAGTACTTACATTGCTTCAGTTTTTTAAAAAAACGTTGATTCACATTAGAAACAAAAAACATAAAATATAAAAAAGATTGAAAAAATCACCACAAAAGTAAAATGTTCTTCATCTCCATTGCCACCAATCAAAATCCCCTCTTTAGTCCCTTCTTGCTTAAGCTATTGCAACAATCCCTAGGGACACATTGGTATCTCTGAGTCTAGCACTGAGCGTCTCTGTCCGTTTTTTGTTTTTTTTTTTTTATACTTTAAGTTCTAGGGTACATGTGCACAACTTGCAGGTTTGTTACATATATATACATGTGCCATGTAGGTGTGCTGCACCCATTAACTCGTCATTTACATTAGGTATATCTCCTAATGCTATCCCTCCCCACTCCCCCCCTTCCCATGACAGGCCCCGGTGTGTGATGTTCCCCTTCCTGTGTCCAAGTGTTCTCATTGTTCTCAGCAAACTATCACAAGGACAAAAAACCAAACACCGCATGTTCTCACTCATAGGTGGGAATTGAGCACTGAGCTTCTCAAATTCATTTTATACCCCCTAAGAATCTTTCTAAATAGCAAATCTGAATTGTATTCCCCTTCTTGTTTCTCTAAATTGTTGTTACACGACTTATGTCAAAATAATGTAGGAGTATTTATTAAAAATAAACATTTCTGTTTTCAACTGCAGACCTAAGAAATCGCAATCTCTGGGACATGCGGACCCAGAAAATTATGCTTTCGGAAAGATTCCTAAGTGTTTCTTAAGCACAGAAATATTTGAGATTTCTCTACCTTTGAGATAAATTTAAATATTTTACGTCAATGTAATTTACCAGATCCTATAGTTTCTTTTCTTTTATTCTATCAAGGAATCATCTCTATTGCATTAAACTTTATTGATATCTTTCAATTTTCAAATCCATAAGTCATGCAATAATTTTTCTTCTTCCTGAATAACATCCTGATCCTCTGCCCCCACCTGACTTCACCTTTTCCCTTAGTTTGACTACTATTTATATGAACAATCAGACAAAAAATACTATCTTCTAGAATGTCATCGCTAACCAATAGATTTTCTTATTGGTTGCACATTGAAAACACTTGGGAACTTTAATAAATACTAATACCTGGATCCTAAAAGGAAATATTGTGATTTAATTGATCTGGGTTGAAGACTGGTCCTTGAGGTTACTGAAAGCATTTTGGGTTATTCTGTGTACAGCCAGAATTAACAACCACAGCTATCTTCTAAATTTGAATTTCCTGCCTGATTGCTATTACTTACAATGAGACTTTAAACGTTCCCTTATCAAAACTCTTAGCTCACTTTATTGAAATTATTATGTGGCTATAAACTGCTGGGGACAGGATCCTTCAGACTGGTAAGGTTAGGCTGTTTGTTCCATCCAAATCTCATGTGATTCCCAATGTTGAATTTGGGGCTTTGTGGGAGGTGATGGGATCATGAGGGCAGGTCCTTCATGAATGGTTTAGTGCCATCCCTTCAGTGATTAGTGAGTTCTTGCTCTGAGTTCACTCAAGATCTAGTTGCTTCAAAGTGGATGGCACCTCTTTTCTCTCTCTTGTTCCGGCTCTCACTATGTGATGTGCCAGCTCCCCATCGTTTTCTGCCCTGATTGGAAGCTTCTTGAGGCCCACACCAGAAGAAAATGCTGGCACCATGCTTCCTATATAGCTGAAGATACATGAGCCAAACTAAAACCTCATTTCTTTGTAAATTACCCAGCTTCAGTTATTTCTTTATAGTAACGGAAAAACTAACAAATGACTGTCTTAGAATCTCCTATCTACCTAACACTCAGTACAGGGAGACAGTTAAGAAGTAACTCAAAAAATATCTGCTGAATAGCATTGAATTAGTAATTTTGAATCTTGCAAAGCATTTTAAATGCTATTTTGATAACCTTTGCCTTCTATACACTTATTCTAGAGTATAAGATTCCAGGTGCATTTGTGTTTATTTCATGTTAATACCTTAAGAACCTGGAACTATAATATAAATGTTCAATGAATAAAGAATAAAAAGGAAGGTAAAATACAATACAATTTGGAACAATGTTTAGAAAAGTAAATAATTGAATCTCTTTAAGTAATCTAAACTATATAGGATCACCTCTTTGGAAATTTATTTATGGGATGATTAGTTTTTAATGACTATGTATTTATTATTTGTTTATTAAATCTTGTCTAGGAAAACTGGTTTCTAAATGTGACTGATTATTTAAATCAATTGGGAAGGTCTTTTCAAATGTAAATTATTGCAGAGTTTCATTCAGATTTTATGATTTGGGCCCAAGAAATATAGTTTTGAAAAGTCACTAAAAACAAAACAAATTTTTCTTATTATTTCTATTTTGAACTATGACCCTGCTTATTTTTTTTTTTTTTTTGAGACGGAGTCTCGCTCTGTCGCCCAGGCTGGAGTGCAGTGGCGGGATCTCGGCTCACTGCAATCTCCGCCTCCCGGGTTCACGCCATTCTCCTGCCTCAGCCTCCCAAGTAGCTGGGACTACAGGCGCCCGCCACTACGCCCGGCTAATTTTTTGTATTTTTAGTAGAGACGGGGTTTCACCGTTTTAGCCGGGATGGTCTCGATCTCCTGACCTCGTGATCCGCCCGCCTCGGCCTCCCAAAGTGCTGGGATTACAGGCGTGAGCCACTGCGCCCGGCCGACCCTGCTTTTTAGAAAAAAAAAATGGCCCAAGAGGCTATATAGGAAAATTTCACTAGTATAGTTGGAGTGGTTTTTTGCTGTTGTTGTTGTTGTTGTTTTTGTTTTTTGTTTGGTTGGTTGGTTTTGGTTTTTGGTTTCTGTTTTTTTGGGTTTTTTTTTGAGACTGAGTCTCATTTTGTTGCCTAGGCTGGAGTACAGTGGCCGATCTCAGCTCACTGCAACCACCACCTCCCAGGTTCAAGGGATTCTCTTGCCTCAGCCTCGCAAGTAACTGGGACTACAGATGCACTCCAGCATGCCTGGCTAATTTTTGTATTTTTAGTAGAGATAGGGTTTCACCATGTTGGCCAGGCTGGTCTCAAACTCCTGACCTCAAGTGATCCACCCGCCTCAGCCTCCAAAAGTGCTGAGATTACAGGTATGAGCCACTGCATCTAGCATAGAGTGGTTATTTTATTTAAAGGGATGCTACTTTGTTCCATTTAAACTGTTTCATAAATTTAATTTTTAAGTAACTTGTTTTTGATTAACTTATCTCTGACTCTTTCGGTATTTTACTCTTTGCAATAAATTTTAGAAGCTTAAGAGATTTACATCATCAAATCTCTTTTATAATAGTTTTGTTTCTATGTCAAGTTTTCACATCTAAAAATTGTTAAAACTGGATCTGGATGTGTGGTTAGAAGTTGGTTAAATAAAAAAAGAAGAGAAATACTTTCTCCCACAGGAGAACAAAGGCTCAAAGCTATGACAGTGTATTATATTTTCAGGGAACATTAAGATGTTCTTGAAACATGCAAAAAATAGGAAATAATAGAAAATGAGTATCCAATGAATTCTATATGGCCATTGCCAGACAATATGATCAGAATTCTGTTCAGGGAAATATTGTGTGTATATGTGTGTGTGTATACATTTGTGTGTTTGTGTGAGTGTGTGTACCCAATTTAAATCTAGGTTGGTTAAATAAAAATTTTACATTTCTTTGTTCAAAGGACTAATTTATTTTATTAGGGATAAGTAAATTCAGCTGTGAATGTTTTAGCATTTAATGACTTCCTGATTCAGAATGAATTCAGCAATAAAAGCTAATTAGAAGGGAAATGAATGCCTAAAATATCCCTCATGTGCATAAAAGTATAAAGATCATTAATTGAAATTAAAATTTAACAGTATACTAATGCATCATGACATAAAATTCCATCTGTTATACAGCATCACAAAAACAGAAAAAAAAATACATAGGGAATAGTTCATCTTTCTTAGGCTTCGACTGGTTAATTGCTCATTAATAGGAATGTATTTATATAAAATATGGTGTTGATAGTAAGAATTCCAATATACATTATAATTTCTTCTTTTTCCTCCTTAAGCCCAGTTTCTTTTGGTGAGAGAAATCTAGGTGGTGGCCGGGAGCGGTGGCTCATGCCTGTAATCCCTGCACTTTGGGAGGCCGAGGTGGGCAGACCACGAGGTCAGGAGTTTGAGACCAGCCTGGCCAACATAGTGAAACCCTGTCTCTACTAAAAATACGAAAAAAATATATATATATAGCTGGGTGTGGTGGTGGGCACCTGTAATCCCAGCTACTCAGGAGGCTGAGGCAGGGGAATGGTTTGAACCTGGGAGGTGGTGGTTGCAGTGAGCTGAGATGGTGCCATTGCACTTTAGCCTGGGCGACAGGGTGAGATTCTGTCTCAAAAACAAAACAAAACAAAACAAAAACACAACAATGAAATCTCATTGGTAAAGGGTGACAAAAAATGCTGTTTCTTATGATGTAAAAGAATTTTAATATCATAAATTGTATGCTCCCTACATAACGATATATACATGTTTGAACATATGTATATTTATATGCATGTATGTTTGAACATATGTATAATTATATGCATGTACATGAATTTTATATAAATTATGGGCATTAATTTTGAAAATACAAATGAAATTTTAAAATAGTCAAAAAGAAAAGAATGACAGTATATTGTATGCATAGAAAGCTTATATAACTTATTTTAATAAACTTTCTACAGTTTTTGTAGTCAACATTCCTATATTTTCTAGATACATAGCATTATCTGAAATATATCTTTGTTTTTGTATTAGAAATATAAATCTAATATGTGTTTTGGTTTGCCTGACTGCATGTAATACTAAACTGTAGAGTGAGGATTTTGTCTGCATATAAACCATTAATGACAAAGTAATTAATTATAATTAAAATCAATAAGAAATTGTTACAAGTTTTGCCACTACCATAAAGCACTCACATTACAATTATGTAAGGATGAAAAAAATCTTTGCAACACCATAGCTTTTAGTCATAAGCAAAGTATATGCTTTAAAATATTCAATTATATGAACTGACACATAGAAAACATTTCACAAAGTTTAAGAAAAAGAGATTTAAAGGTAAGAAATAGCTATATAAATAAATATGTTAATATCAGGATTATTTACAGCAGCAAAATAAAAAAAAACAAATAAATAGAAAAGAATCTAAACCAAAACAACAGGAACCGATTTAAATTTCCAGGCACAGGTAAATAATCATCTATATAATATCACATACAATAATATGCATCCACTTACAATATGAAATGTAAAAATCTGAAGTATTAGAAAAAACAATGTCATATTGAATTTTACAGAACAAAATAAAAGAAAATTACACTATGATTGGAAATTGTATAAGTGACTATATTATATGTGGGGCTCTACCTGTCCCTCCCTATTGGGGTCCCATTTTTTTTCCTGGCTACATTATTGAGTAATATTTAAAATGACTGCCAACTTTCACTCCCATCCAGCTCACATTCCTGGACTTCCCTGATGTTGAGAGTGTAGTTACTTTTTAAATATAGAATCTTGCTCCTTCTATTTTTGCCCTGCCATTAGCTGCTTTGGCTTTCTCAGGTATACATCAAACACAGGTCCTGAGTGTCTCCAATCGCAAGTAACACATTCTAGGCTCTCCAGATGATCCAGTTGCAGACTCTCTTGTCTCCATTGGACTTAAGGCAAGGTGCAGACACTTCCATACAAAGCACAGCGTCCTCCAAAGAAGCCCTCCTTATGGAATCCTCTGACCTCTATACACTGATCCATCTTGTATACATTTTTTTGTATTTTTGACTTAACTGAATGGTGCTAGAGTCAGATAACTGCTTCTAAAACTTCCTTTATGAATCTGCACTAGAATTTAGGACCTTACTTTGGTATTGTACAAGAATGGTTTTCAGAGAGGCTTCATGGTACTCATGAGAGCATATTAGTAAGAAATTGATATCTCAAAGAATTATGTGATTTTCCTGGAACAATAAGCCTTTGAACAACCTCTTGCATATAAATGGGGATTTCCTAAATTCCATACAGTTTCGAAAGAAGCTAGGTCTTGTACAATATTTTAATTGGGCTTTAATTCAAAAATATACTCTTTATAATTCATGTGTATGTATGCCAGAGAAAACATAGGTTATCCATTATTAATCACAAGAACTATCAAGAATTCTCAAAGTGGCATGGCTGGAAGCCATATATGATTAGGAACCCCATTTGTTATAGAAGGAAACCTAAGCTAGCCTACCATAAACAAAGAACATGAGCTGTTAGGCGCCAGGAACTTACGTCTTTATTCTAACATGCACAAGTTGAGAAACAAGGGCAAATAAGATAATCTCTCTAAATTAAGTTTATCTAAAAATGTCTAATAATTATTGTTTTGCCTGTCTCAAAAAGCTGTTAGGGTCATAAAATAAAATGTGTATAAAAATAATTTATAAATTTTAAATTACTATATAATGAATGTTCCAGCATATACAACAATTGGTATTGATTGACAAATACTCTAGGAAAAGAAAGTACATAACTTAACAGACTTCCTGGTTTAACTTGTGGATTATGCTAGAAATCCATTCTGAGGAACCACATCCTTTACATGTATACAATTTTAAAATTCTGTATGGTATTTTGCCGATGCTGCCCTTTCCCTAATGGTATGATCAGCTTTGAATGTCCTGCTCTCCATTCTAAATTTATTTCAAATTCCGACAACTGATTAAGAGTCAGCATAACCTATTCATTCTTTATTTTTAATTCTATAAACACCTTAGCCTGCATTTTGAAGATTTTGAATGGCACTATTAGATTCACTATATTATAATTTCTATGAGGGTGGTGTATTAGTGTGGCACATAAAATTAATTATCATAAGCAGGAACTACCTAGATTCTGTTAGTCGCTTTTCCCCCAACACCTTGTACAATGTGCATGTAGTGTTTAATAAATGTCCATGAATAGCTTTTTAAAGTTGGTAATATAAATTAGCATGACAAGAGATTCTTTATCTTTAATTCGATGAATTTTTATAAACAGTGAAGCAATTTTAATGTAAATTAAACTTTCTTAACAGTATTAACTTATGACAGTATTAAAATCCATAAATTATTTCACTAGGTCAAAATTAATTTTACTGAAATACTTTCTTGGAATATATTATGTGTATGTATATGTATATGTATATGTATATGTATATGTATATGTATATGACAGATTGCACTAAATCTCCTCCCTGTAGCATAAAACTTGCACCACTTCTCACTAAAGAGGTGGAATCTGTTTTTCCATCCCTTCACTCTGTACTGGCATTATAATTTACACTGGCTGCTAGGATGTATTGGAAGTGATCAGTGCACTGGTTCTGAGCTTCAGTAATAGAGGTTTTTGTATATTTTAGTTTACTTGATCATTCTTCCTTCAACATGAGACGACTGTCAGGTCAGCATGCTGGAGGAGGCCTAGTCACCCATAACAACCCAGGCAACAGCCAGATGACAAAGACCCAAACAGACAGTGAAACACTAAATGTGTGAGGCGGCCCATTTGAGATCAGAACAGCTGTCCCACTGAGTTCATCCTAAATGATTGACCTACTATCCAAAAGTGCTATGTAAATACTTACTGTTTTAAGCCACTTATTTTGGGGGTAATTCATTTAATATTATTATTATATTATATAACATTATTATATAGTAATTATGGCAGTTATTGTGTTATATAGTATTATTACACAGTATTACTGTAGTACTAAATAACTGGTGACTTTTATTGCTCTTAATAATCACTTAATGTTAATTCATTGTCTAGAGCAGCAGTCCCCAACCTTTTTGACACCAGGGACTGGCTTCGGGGAAGAGAGTTTTCCATGGACCTGGGTCGGGGGATGGTTTTGGGATGATTCAAGCACATTATATTTATTGTGCACTTTATTTCTGCTATTATTCCATTGTAATGTATAATGAAATAATTATACAACTCACCATAATGTAGAATCAGTGGGATCCCTGAGCTTGTTTTCCTACAACTAGACAGTCACATCTGAGGGTGATGGGAGACAGTGTCAGATTATCAGGCATTCGATTCTCATAAGGAGCACATAACCTAGATCCCTCGACACACAGTTAACAATAAGGTTCCCACTCCTATGAAAATCTAATGCTGCCCCTGATCTGACAGGAGGTGGAACTCAGGCATTAAGTAATGTGAGGCTTGGGGGGCGGCTGTATATACAGATGAAGTTTCACTCACTCACCTGCCGCTCACCTCCTGCTATGTGGCCCGGTTCCTAACAGGCCATGAACCAATACTGGTCTGAGGCCTGGGGGTTGAGGACCCCGATTCAGTCAAGTAATATGTATAAGCATGAAGTTTACTTAAATGCATGCTAAAAATTACCAAATATCTCAGTATTCCAGGGGATTTAGAAAAATACCCTGCAATAAAAATCATCTATTCTAAAAGTGAGATAATGAGCTATAGGGTAGCAGACAGTGTGAAATGAATATTCACATTAAAAAAGAAATATATGCTGCTGAATTACTGTTCATATTATTTTTCAAGTTACTGACATTAATTCAACCTTTACTTTTCACGGCTGTGTTTGGTTTTACTGGGCACAGTTCAGTGCAAATAAATGTTCTTTGTGTGAATAATTATCAAGCATTCAACTAAAATGTTCTTCAAATTTGGACCAGAAAGACATCCAACTCTGTTCTTAGTAAATACTACTCAAAATATATTTGCAGTTTACTAGGTTGCATACTTATTTATTTTCATTTTACTATATTAATTGGGACAACTACATCCTTGATGTTAGTACAGGTGGAGGAGCTTGTACTCTTTACCCATTTCAGTTATTTTAATTTTTTTCTACACTCCACTGATAGAATAATTTTTCTAAGATTAAATCTGATTGTATTACTACCAAATTCAAGAACCTCATCCTTTTTACCTTATGGTGTATTTCTCTCTTATCTTTCTGGATTTTTTTTTTTTTTACTTTTCTTCTTAAAATAATAAATTCTGGCTGCTTTTTTTTTTTTTTTTAATTGTCCGCATCCCTTGACTTTTGGTCCCACAGACATCTCCTGAGACTTTAAGCTAAGAGGCTATACTCTCAGCCATAAAGGAGAGAATTAAAGTTATGTGAGAGGAGATGGACTAAGAAACAGCAGGGGGAGAAAAAAAAATAGCTACATTGTCATCATACTAATTCATGTTTATTTTCAGATCAAAGGAGCTAGGACATAGCAACTAAGCTGCAAGTCCAGTAATTATTACAATTAATGGTTTGAAGGCAACTAGTTGGTGTTCATGCTATGCCTCAAGCCTCCTGGTGGCAAGCCACTTGACCTCTCTGAACCTCTTTTTTTTCATCATTATAATGAGCTGTTTGACCTTAATGATCACTACAGACCCTTCAGTTATGATGCAGAGAAAAAGAGAAAGGATGTATATTTAGAAAACAGAAATTTGAATCCTGGCTGCTTTATTTTACTGGTTATGTGACCTTGCACATGACCCTTTTTAACTTTAGTCTCAGTTTTGTCATCAGTGAAATAGATCAGTAAGTTGTTAAAACAATCATATGAAGAAAAAAAAGTATATTAAAGCAATGTCACCAGTAAATGTTCTATATAAATATTAATTATTGTGACTATTTTTGTGTTTGAAATGAGGCAGGAATTCAAAAAGCAAAAAGAAATAGTTGCAGTTTAACAACTGCTATAGATACATTTCAAGGCTCCATAAGAAAAAAAAAAGATAAAATAATTGAATAGATTGACTAAAGTGAAAAATTATCACAATGGAATAATTAAAGTAGTAATTTCATTAAGGTAGCCTTTTAAAAAATATTTTAGTTTAAAATAACTAAAGACTTACAGAAAGTTGCACAGTAGTTAGGCTAGTACTTTCAATATTGTTTTCTCTTAAAATTATATCTCATTTTTATAAACAGGCCCCTAAAACACAGCCACAGGCTTTGGAGAAAAACTGTAGTTCTAAGAGATTATTATTTAGCAATAGAAGTGTAATTTGGTCATGATGAGTGAATAGATTAATACATGTAAAAGCAAACTAGATTAAGTCTCCTTTTAGTAACTGACTTGTCATAAAAAATAAGCAAATTGAAGACACATACACACAAACACAGAGAAACACCTGGTAAATATACACATTTCACTTAGCATTTAAAGGGTTTGACTATTATTAATAAGGAAGGGGTGCAGGGAAGTGCTGGGTAGAAGAGGGTGTGGTCCCTGGCTAGGGCTCTAACCCCAGGCCTTACCCACAGACCTAGGTGAGGACAGGCACTCCTGCCTTCATGCCCAAATGTTGCATTTCCCAAGCCCACCCTGGCCCACCACACTCCCATCCTATGCCTATGAAAACCCTGAAATCTTAGCATTAGCACGCACACACACAAGTGGCTGGATGTCCAGAGGAACACATCAGCAGAAGACACAAGCGGCTGGACATCCAGATGACGGCGAGGGGAACATGCCGGCAGAGCGGTACACGGACAGAACCCGCCGGCCAAAAGACCTGAGACCAGCGCAACAACGCAGAGTTTGGCTGGGGTGGTTGGAGGAGAGCCCAGGCCACAGAGCAGCCAACTCCAGGGGAAAACCATCTCCCACTTCTGGCTCCTCCATCTGCTGAGAGCTACTTCCATTCAATAAAACCTTGCACTCATTCTTCAAGCCCACGTGTGATCTAATTCTTTTTGTACACCAAGGCAAGAACCCTAGGATACAGAAATCCCCGTCTTTGTAATAAGGGCTTCAGGAGCTGTAAACATTCACCCCTAGACACTGCGGTGGGGCTGGAGCCCCACAAACTGCCCGTCTGCATGCTTCCCGCAGAGGTTTGAGCAGTGGGACAGGAAGCAGCGAGCCACACCCCCATCACACACCCAGTGAAGGAGATAACGAAACCTTCCCCTTTCATTTTATGTTTGAACCTTATGCGTTTGGAGAGTGAAATGGTCATCTGGAAGGATGTTTATGAGTAAGCAAGTTCCCTTAAGGTAATTTGGTTTGCTCCAAGTGAAAACAGAATATCCTGAAACTAACATTGTTGCTTTATATTCATGTAGCCCCTAGACAACAGTAGACAACAGGAGGTTATGCCCACAGGGCAAAGTCACTTACCTTCAAATGTTTAGCAGATAAGTATTATATTTGAAAGTATTTCTCTCTTTGTTTAATTCTGTGAGATAAAGAACAGAGAGGAGCCAAACACACAGAAACACATACACAAATACATGCGCCCGCGCACATGTGCACATGCATATGCACGCACACACACGAACACAGAGTCCTTTTAATTGAAATGAAAAGTAGACTTTTAGTCAACTTCATTGCTTTGATGGCATTCATTGACATCCTGCATTTTTAAAATGAAATGGTTATGTGGTGGTGGTAATATCATTGTATTACCGAAAATGTTATATGAAAGACATTGATGGTAAAGTCACTTAATAAAAACATGTAAAATAATAAAAAGATTTAGTCTAAAGAGGCCCTGTTGTTCTTGGGGCACCAAATTCAGAATGGGACTTGTATTGAGTATTGTTCCTCTGTAATACAGTGAGAAAGGGATTTCACTGGGACACGGAACAAAAACGTATGTGTTCATAGTTTGAGGATGAAGGGCCTCGGACACACTTTTAAATGTTCTGTGTGCTTTTCCCAATTAAAATCACATGACAAGCTACTGAAGTGCTCAAATTCACTGAAAAGACTGGTAAACAATTGATATGCTCAGCTCTTTCTTCTACACTTCAGTGTGTCTCAGCCACACAGAGTTTCAGTCCAGATTTTTTAAAAAAGCAAAAGTTTCTCTTTTTTTCCTTTATCTTCATATGACTTATTAAGCCATTTAATAATGAAGGTGGTGATACCGTCTCTCACAGACCAATCGAAATCCACTACTACATTGAAGCTCCTTGCTGAGGTAATTTAGTTCTGTTATTCAGAAACCCAATACACATATCAGAATGAATTTTCTATCACGGAGCTTTGCCCTCACATTGATATAGGCTATGATTTATACCTTATCAGTCATGACAGAATTGCCAGATACTGACAATACTTATCAGCATGTTTGTACTTATTAGGTCATTCAAAAGATAATATTGGCATACTTTCTTAGCAACAAATGTGAGAAGCAAAGATACACATGTCAGAGATTTTAAAGAGAAAGGCATAGTAAGAATCTGTAAGTTTGGCAAAACAAAGTGTATGTTTTAAATAAAAAAGAAAAATATGAAGGAATAAACAAGCATATTTATGAAATTATAGAAGTTAAAATACATGAAGCACATATACATACATATGTGTATATGCGTATGTATATATACATACATGTATGTGCATGTGTGTGTGTGCACATGTGTGTGTATATACCCATAAGCTTACTTCAGAGATATTACAGATTTGGTTTCAGACCACTACAATAAAGTGAATATTCTAGTTGTGAGCAATAATCCTGCAAATGCTGCCAGGTAATGGAAATAAGTAGAATGCCCCATCACTCAGAGGTTTCCTTTTGGGAAAGTAAGACCAAGAGAGCTAACAAAAGCCAAGCACCCTGCGCTTAAATCATAGCAAGCATAACTATAGCCACCAGTTATCTGGGTGTGTCACAAGACATCCTTTTATCTCCCTTGTTGGAAGAGTGCTCAGTTTCACAGTTTCACCTTAACATTCAGCTTATGGTAAGGAGTCTGTACAACCCCCCGCGAGACACATTTTTGTCCCAAATTCAATTCCAAGCTTCAGGTCAAAGCTGTAGGAAGAAAACCGAATCTAAGGGATCCAGAAGCAAATGATAATGGAAGGTAAAAGGCGCAGCACAGGTGAACGTGGCTGATTCCTGTTGATTAAGCCAAGCCCAAGCTTCCCGTTTCATGGATAAAGGCCACGCTAGTATCCATGGCATAAATGAGGTCTAGGAAATTCAAGGCTACTGACAGCAGGGGAGATAGGGCGTACATGGATAGAGTGGTTAATTCCCACCCCCTATAATTGCTGCAGTTCTACACTAGCAGTTACTGCTTCACCTTGCACCACTTCCTAGGCCCTGCTGCTTCATGGGCACAAGCCACTTTGGTACTCATGGTGGCACCTGCCAAGGTTGCTGGGACTCAGGGATTCAAGGATGGAAGAGAGAAAGAGAATGTTCTTCCCCTTCTCCCTCACGTACCCTGGGTATCTACTAGTAAGAGAACCAGGGATGCCTGCTCCCCTCTTTCTAGGTGGATAGCCATTCATCTTCAGTCTGTACCCCTTTCGAATGCATCATGAACTCCTGGGACTCATTTGAAAAATGCCTTCTTTTTTCTTCTCTCCTCCTCTGTCTTCTCTTCACAGATAGGTAACTGTATCTCCATACTACAGGACAGTCCCCTCAGATGCATCCTCCGAACTGGAAATAGTTAATTTCCCAAACCTTAAACTGTTGGCTTAGGATTGGACTCAGGGGAAGGGAACCCAGAAGCCCAACTTGCCAACAAAAGGGTAAAGTTTTTTACCAGTCAGGCTTTTGGCCTCTCTGTGCAAACTGGTAAAAGCCCTAGGCATTTCTGAGCTGTCCTTACCCCTCCCTGTGTTTCATTTTGATACATGTTTTCTAATACCCTGGTTTGTCTCTTCTTGCCTTCAGGCTATCAAACTCAAAAAGGTCATGCAGCTGGAGCCTCACACAATGGCCTGTTCTGCCACAACTCTTACCTTACATAGGCCTCTGAGGGAGCTCTTGAGAGATGACAGCATGCTGGCAGCCCTTGCGGCCCTCGCCCGCTCTCGGCGCCTCCTCTGCCTGGGCTCCCACTTTGGCGGCACTTGAGGAGCGCTTCAGCCCGCCGCTGCACTGTGGGAGCCGCTTCCTGGGCTGGCTGAGACTGGAGCTGGCTCCTTCAGCTTGCGGGCAGGTGTGGAGAGAGAGGAACGGGCGGGAACCCGGGCTGCGCAAGGCCCTTCCCGGCCAGCACCAGTTCCGGGTGGGCGTGGGCTGGGGCGGGCCCCGCACTCGGATTGGCCAGCCGGCCCGCCGCCACGGGCAGTGAGGGGCTTAGAACCTGGGCCAGCAGCTGCTGTGCTCCACTTCTCACTGGGCCTTAGCTGCCTCCCCGCCGGGCAGGGCTCCGGACCTGCAGCCCGCCATGCCTGAGCTTCCCCCGCCCCTCCACTGCGAGCCTCCCCGACGAGCGCCGCCCCCTGCTCCAGGGCGCCCAGTCCCATCGACCACCCAAGGGCTGAGTGAGGAGCGCGGGCACACGGCGGGGGACTGGCAGACAGCTCCACCTGCTGCCCGGGTGCAGGATCCACTGGGTGAAGCCAGCTGGGCTCCTGAGTCTGGTGGGGGCTTGGAGAATCTTTATGTCTAGCTAAGGGATTGTAAATGCACCAGTCAGCCCTCTGTATCTAGCTCAAGGTATGTAAACACACCAATGGACACTCTGTATCTAGCTACTCTGGTGGGGACTTGGAGAACCTTTATGTCTAGCTAAGGGATTATAAATACACCAACTGGCACTCTGTATCTAGCTCAAGGTTTGTAAACACACCAGTCAGCACCATGTGTCTAGCTCAGGGTTTGTGAATGCACCAATTGACACCCTGTATCTAGCTACTCTGGTGGGGATGTGGAGAATCTTTGTGTGGACACCCTGCATCTAGCTAATCTAGTGGGGAGGTGGAGAACTTTTGTGTCTAGCTCAGGGATTGTAAACGCACCAGTCAGCACCCTGTCAAAACAGACCAATTGGCTCTGTAAAATGGACCAATCAGCAGGATGTGGGTGGGCCAGATAAGCGAATAAAAGCAGGCTGCCCGAGCCAGCAGTGGCAACCCGCTGGGGTCCCCTTCCACACTGTGGAAGCTTTGTTCTTCTGCTGTTTGCCATAAATCTTGCTGCTGCTCACTCTTTGGGTCCACACTGCCTTTATGAGCTGCAACACTCACCAGGAAGGTCTGCAGCTTCACTCCTGAAGCCAGCGAGACCACGAACCCACCGGGAGGAACGAACACCTCCAGATGCACCGCCTTAAGAGCTGTAACACTCACCGCGAAGGCCTGCAGCTTCACTCCTGAGCCAGCGAGACCATGAACCTACCAGAAGGAAGAAACTCCGAACACATCCAAACATCAGAAGGAGCAAACTCCGAACACGCCACCTTTAAGAACTGTAACACTCACCGCGAGGGTCTGCGGCTTCGTTCTTGAAGTCAGTGAGATCAAGAACCCACCAATTCTGGACACAATCTGACTGTCTTTCCCCAAAACAGTGTCCTCTATCAGCAGGAAACAGTTAAGATTTGTCTTTGTTCTTATTCTTATCCTTACTCTAATGGCAGTTAGATGTACTTCTTTAGAGGGACAAGTGAGACAGCCAGGTGGGAAGGGCTCCCTGGCAGAACCTCCGATGGCCTGCACACAGGTGGAGCCACAGAAGTTCATGCCATTTGCAGGGGGAAGGAACCTGGCCCCTCCTCTTCCTGGGTGGTACCTGGGATTCAAACTGCAGGGTGGGAAGCACACCAGCAGGGACTCTGTCTTTGTGGAGGGTCCCTGTTTTTTTTTTTTTGTTTTATTTTTTCCCTTTTAACCAAATAAAATTCTGCCTTACTCACCCTTCAAATTATCTATGAGCCTGAATTTTTGTGGCCATGTGACAAGGACCCCATCTTTAGCTAAACTAAGGAAAAGTCCAGCAACAACAGTAGACCTTTTCTCAAATTGGAGAAAATTCTCTCAAATCCTGCTGTTGCTTTACCAAATTTATGTATTATAAATCCTTCATTGTTATTTCAACAATGTTCACAGCATCTTCACCACGGATGGATTTTGTCTAAAGAAACTACTTCCTTTGCTCACCCATAAGAGGAAACTTCTCATCTGTCTGAGTTTTATCATAAGATTGCAATAATTCAGTCACCTCATCAGACCTCACTCCTAATTCTAGTTCTCTTGCTGTTCCCACGTCCTCTGCAGTTCCTTCCTCCACTGATGCCTTGAACACATCAAAGTCATCCATGAAGCTTGACATCAACTTCTTTCAAACTCTTGTTAATGTTGCTATTTTGATCTCCTCTCATCAATCACAAATGTTGTTAATGGACTTTAGAATGGTGAATACTTTCCAGAAGGTTTTCAATTTATTTTGCCCAGATCCATCAGAGAAATCACTACCTACAATAACTGTAGTCTTATGAAATGTATTTCTTAAATAATAAGACTTGAAAATCCAACTTACTTGATCCATAGCTGCAGAATGGATGTTGTGTTGACAGACATGAAAACAACATTAATTTCCTGGTACATTTGTATCAGAGTTTTTGGTTAACAAGGTACATTGTCAATGAGCAGTAATATTTTGAAATAATTTTTTTTCTAAGCAATAGGTCTCAACAGTGGGCTTAAAATCTTCAGTACACCATGCTATAAATAGACATGCTATCAGCATATTTTGTTGCTCCATTTATAAAGCACAGGTAGAGTGCATCTAGCATAATTCTTAAGGGCCATAAGACTTTTGGAATGGTGAATGAGCATTGGTTTCAACTTAAATTCACCAGCTGCTTTAGCCCTGAACAGAAGACTCATTTTGTTTTTTAAAACTTTGAATCTAGGTATCAATTTCTCCTCTCTAGCTATGAAAACCCTAGATGTCATCTTCTCCCAAAAGAAGGCTATTTTGTCTACATTGAAAATAAGTTTTTTAGTGCAGCCACCTTCATCAATTATGTTAGATCCTCTAGACCAGGGGTCCCCAACCCCTGCACCCTGGACCAAGTCCGTGGCCTTTTAGGAACTGGTCAGCACAGCAGGAGCTAAGCAGCAGGCAAGAGAGCATTATCACCTGAGTTCTGCCTCCTGTCAGATCAGCAATGGCATTAGATTCTCATAAGAGTGCAACCCCTATTGTGAACTGCACATGCAAGGGATCTAGTTGTGCACACTCCTTATGAGAATCTAACTAATGCCTGATGATCTGAGGTGGAACAGTTTTATCCTGAAGACATCCCCCCTCCACCTACCCTGTTCGTGGAAAAATTGTCTTCTACAAAACCAGTCCCTGGTGCTAAAAAGGTTGGGGACCACTGTTCTAGAAAACTTGCTGCAGCTTCTACACTAGCACTTAGTGCTTCACCTTGTACTTTATGTTATGGGGATGGCTTCTTTTCTTAAACCTCATGAAGCAGCCTCTGCTAGCTTCAAACTTTTCTTCTGCAGCATCCTCACATCTACCAGCCTTCACAGAATTGAAGAGAGTTGGGACCTTGCTCTAGATTAGTCTTTGACTTAAGGAAATGTTTTGGCTGGTTTGATCTTCTATCCAAGCCACTAAAACTTTCTCCTTATCAGCAATAAGGGTGTCTTGCTTTCTTACAGTTTGTATGTTCACTGGAATATCATTTCATGAACATTTTATTTGCATCCACAACTTGGCTGTTTGGAGCAAAAATCTTAGCTTTCAGCCTATCTCTCAACTTTCCATATGGCTTCCTCACTAAGCCTTTTTAAATATTGTTGTGTTTCAGGGAATAGGGAGGCCTGAGGAGAAGGAGAGAAAAGGAAGAAAGTCTGGTAGATGGAGCAGCTGGAACACACACAACATTTGTGAGTAAGCTTACTGTCTTGTATGGGCATGGTTAGCAGCATCTCAAGACAATTATAATAGTAACATAAATGATCACATCATAGATTATCATAACAGATATAATAATAATAAAAAGTTTTTGAAATATGAGAATCAGCAACATGTGGCACAGAGAAATAAACATATGTTGATTTAAAAAAATAGCACGGATAGACTTGCTAGATGCAGGGTTGCCACACACCTTCAATTCATAAAAAATGCAGTGTCTGTGAAGCATAATAAACCAGAGTGCAATAAAATGAGGTATGCCTCTATTTATAGTTAGTATGATTTAATCAGTGTATTTGAGCTTATAGTAAAGCCTATTAAATTAACATAGTAAGAGTTTTTATTAAACAATATTTCACCTTTCTGGTATTTTTTCATGCTGGTGAATTACAATTGAGTCTGGGATCATGGGAGCATGGATTGAACAACTATACTTCAGATTTACCAGTGGAAAAGTTCAGCCTCAGAAAGCTTGATTGACTTGCTCAATCTCATTGTTTTGAATAACAATGATCCACCTAACATTAACTGATCACATGACTTGATGAGGAGGAAATACTAAAATAAAAACATGATTATAAATTTTTACATTAGACTAACAATTTAAATCTAGACATCTAAGCATGATTCTTCAGAAAATAAGTGAAGAGCAAATGAGGAGAAATACTTTGAGAGAGAAAGAAAAAGGTGGTATAAGGTAGCACTTTATAGCAAAGGGTTTTGAGAAGAAATGAACAGGGTTCTCATACCACACACACTCATGTTACTTTTAAGACCTTACAAGAAAATTCCATAATCATCCCTAATTTCTCTTCATTATTTGAGAGATTTTTATTTCACACAATCATGTGAAAATTAATGATAATTAAGTAAAGCTTTTATTTAGCACTAGGTGTGACATATTGTAAAAATACAGTAGATAATACATTTTAATATTGAGAAATTAGTTGATTGATTTCTCTATTGCTTTACTCATTCGTTTTTGCAATAGAATTTGTTTAGCATTATCTATGATATGCTAATCACTGTGCCAGGTGATGAAGATATAGGATAATTATTGTAGCTGTTTTGAAAACAAAACCTTAAATTAGCCAAATGGAAGTAAATCTGATTTAATTTTGAATTAAATGTGAGAAAGCATCTGTTTAGTCTGGTAAAGCTACGAAGATACTTTAGTTTTAAAATCCTTTAAAATAATAGAATACTTTCAATTTAATTATGTTTCTTTCTTAGAAATTTTATTGCACCAGTAGCTAATTAATAAGAATACTAATTGCTTTGGATATTATAGGCTTTATTATATTAGTAACTTCAAATTGTTGATGTATTAGAAAAGTCACTAATGTATTTACAAATATTATTGTTACAATAATGTTAGAAATAATTATCTTTTTTATTACACTATTTATCACAAGCTGACTTGTCACTATTATCTGTATTTATTAATAAAAGTACATGTAATTGCACTTCCTTAATTCATTAGATTCTTACAAAGTACGTATTTAGTATAAAGATACATTAGGTATTATAAGGAAATACAGAAATTATATAAAATATTGCCCCTTTCATTGCATATTTTAAAATCTAATTGAGTATAATTACATTATATATGTAAAGTTCAAAACTTTGCTGCTGAATTTACTTGTTTGTTTGCCTAATTTTGTTATTTCTTATTTTATTTTCTTTCTTGCATTTCTTCTGTAGCCTATATTCTGTAACTTAAGAGGTGGTAGCTGGTGAAGGAAATTAGAATATTGGCCATTGATAAATAATGACTCTTCCATGCTCTTCCTCCCAAACTGCTGGCTGTATGCAATGTCAAAGTTTTATAATATTATACCTAGACTTCATAGTCCTTTCCAGTTTCAACCGGATTGCCAGTGACACTCAACATAGGCTCTCCAAAACTCATCAAATTTATCTAATAGAACCAGCTTATCACTCATGATTTCCTGTTTATAGAACAATTTCTTCATTCACCCACTCTAGAATCATCTTTGATCTTCCTCTTTTCATTTTTCTTTACTCAGCAACTTTCAGTCAGGCATCAAATTATCTTTGCATCTTAAAAATTCCAGTGACAACGCCCAAGTTTGGCCTCCATTCCTGCTTGAAGTGTTGCAGTAACTCTGCAGCTGGTTGTCCTGTCATCTCTCTCTCTCTACTCCAAACTGTCACATTTACAGTGGCCTGAAATAGCGTCTTGGTTAGATAATCTCTCATAATGAAAAATATCTCTTGAGTAATAATCAGTGGATCATCATTGATTAGTAAATTTAAAACAGAATTATCAGTTCAGGTTCATTAGGTCTTCTATAAGATTCAACCCATATTTCTAGGTATGCCTTTCACTTGTTCAAATAATAAACAATGTAGAGAAACATGACTATTTGTATCTTTACCTTTCCAAACACAGACATTTATTATGAATATATAGTCTTCGTCTACGAAAAACCCATTTGTTAAGGCCCATCTCACTTCTACAAATTCTTCTTCCACTTACATGTTAGCATAATTGCTCTTGACTTCAATCCACGAGACCATTATTATGTCATTGATCTAACTGTAATGTGAAATAATAGTTACTTATACACTTATCCAAGCACTCATAATCCTCGTCTTTATTTTCAAAGCTCTCATTTTAATTATTTGAGCAATTCCTATTACCTTCCAATAAATTCCTCTTATGCCTAAGTTGCATTTTTTTCAGTTGCAATCATAAGATTTCAATCAAATTATTCCTAACTCAGGAAATGATAGACAAAAATATATAAATTTAACTCACCAAAGGACATCATCTCAAGTTTTGTCTTTCTCTATTCAACCTAAAATCTTTTGGTAAATTTGACATGAGAGAAGTGGAACAAGAGTTAATGCTGTCGTTGACCTGACTCCTAACTCAGGAATTTCTCCTGCATTACAAGTTTGAAGAAAAAAAAAGGAGTCAGTTTTACAAAAATGACACAATGTCTAAGAGAGTTCAAAAAGAGTCAGTGCATATATATACCATATATATATGGTCACAAATTGAAAAAAATAAACCAAAGAATTTGGGTGCAGTAACCCTCTTATCAGAACGTAGGATGTCTTTGATCATACAAACTGTATGTAACCCAAGACCTCATTGTTGCTCACTGGAAGCCCTCTTCTCAGAGGTTTATTTAATACTATCCCATATTGGATTAGGAGAGCCTAAATATTTCCTGGTTTTAGCAGAATTGGCTCAGAAATTATGACAAATCTGAGCATATAGGTGGGAGCTCTTAAAGAAAACTAGAGATAGTATGAATTAAGTGAAAGGTGATAGTATTACCTCCGAAGTTTGTTTTCTAGCTTCTTTTATGCAATTTTTTTGGTGTTTAGTAAATACTTGTTGAGAAAATATTATGTTATAATCTTTCTATTTCATTTTCCCTTCTAAGATTTTCTTTTGATCATTTCTTTCTCGTGCATTTTTATTTTCAAACTTATTTTCTCTATGCATGTACAATTTTAAAATAAATGACAATAATAAAAATTGACAGGGTTTCCCAGCCACGAAAAATCTAGAAATGATTTTTTCAGTGAGAGCAGGGTGCCACAATAATTTTCTTTCCCATGTATATCTTACTGATTATGAAATTCCATCAAGAACCAGGAGATCCCTAACATTTATACATAATTACTTAAAAATAAGTAATAATTACTTAAAAATAAGTATATGGATGATGATATTAGTTTTGGGGTAATTGCAACAGACACTTAATGCATAAGAGATATTATCTATGGCAAGACTTTGCTGTTCTTTCCTACCTTGGCAGGACTCTATTTTTAAGAGAGATGCCATTGGCAGTTATCATTCCAGTCAGACAATCCAGGGTCAAGGTAAAGTAGTATTCAGTTATACTACAGCTTTTCTTGCCTTGTGGAACTACCAGACGTCCACTAGGTACTGTATGTTTGACCAAATAAATTTGGAATTTAAATCAGGTATATGGTTACCTGAAAAACAAATGTGAATGTCACTAATACAATGATGGCCCAAAGGAGTTTTAGCACATACACACACATACAAACATAGTTCTGTATACAAAAACATGGTTCTGTCTGATTTTAAGTTTTATACTCTATTTCCTAAATATAGTAAAAGTTTTTTATGCTGTGCATCAAAGCATCTGTAAATAATTGTGAAATCCTTGTGATTTCACTTCTTTGAAACTGATTGTTTTAAGCAGCTTCCATCATGGGAAGAACTTTAAGTATTTCATATTCATGGCCTCATCCTACGACTCTTCTTTATTCTGGAGCAGAATTGGCAACCTACAACCAGCTGGGCAAATCCAGGCTTCTGCTTATTCTAAATAAAGTCTTACTGCAGCACGGGCACTCTAATTCATGTATCTGTTTCTATATACCCTACAATGGCAGGGTTGAGTTGTGACAGAACTAGAACTAGTTATGACATAAATTATATGGCCACAAAGCCTACGATAGTTATTATGTGACACTTTACAGAAAAATGTTCTAGAGAGATCAATTTGGGAAATAAAATTCTGTAAATGCAGTTTTATAAACACATGCAATGCTCTTAACAACTTACGAGAATCTCCATTACCATATAACAGTAGTCTTGAGTAGTTCTACTACAGAATTGGGTAAAACATTTAGCATGAATTTAAAAACAACAGCAACAACAACCCTAGAGTGCATATGTAATTCAAATGCAGGGCACTTTGTGGCAGAAAAATTTACTTTGAAGTTAGTTATAAATGTTGCTAATGTTTTGAATGGCTTAAAATACATGACTTAAAATATAGTCACTCAGTGGATGGCATTTTCTATTCCCCGTTATTAAGTGGTTATGGCATATTTTACACTTCTGTGGGAATGTTCACTTTTTATGTTAATAACAAATTTTAGTGTGTGTGTGTGTGTGTGTGTGTGTGTGTGTGTGCTTTCTATTTAAGTTTTGTTTGTTTGTTTGTGACAGAGTCTCACTCTGTGACCCAGGCTGGAGTGCAATAGTGTGATCTTGGGTCACTGAAGCCTTGACTTCCCAGGCTCAAAAAACTCTCTCGTCTTAGCCTCTGAAATAGCTGGGACTACAGGAGGGTGCCACCACACCTAGCTAATTTTTGTATTTTTTGTATAAACAGGGTTTTGCCATGTTGCCCAGGCTGGTCTCAAATTCCCGGGTCCAAGCAATCCACCTGTCTTAGCCTCCCAAAGTGCTGGGATAACAGGCTTGAGCCACCATGTCTGGCCTTTAATTTGAATTAAAAAGGTATTATATAATGTTACATGATACAAAGGTCATTCAGTATAATGCTGCTTAAACTTACAGAATATTTTGAAGTAGAAATATAGATTATTACTTTAAAATTGCTGTCTCTTGAGTCTTTATTGTCTGCATTTAATGATTATTGATTTGCTTATATTTTGAATAGTTTTATTTAAATATTTTGGAGAAACCTCAATACATATGAAAATAATTATTCATTCTCTTTTCTCCATGATATTTTCTCTGATATGACTTCAGCACTTAAAATGTGGTCATGAATACCATTTTATGGTTACTGCCTTCCATTCCAATCTAGTCGTGGTCCTTTATGAAGTGTCACTCAGAAATCCACTTTCTGCAATTATTATAATGGTGATGCAATGGCCAAGTTTATCTTGCTACCAATGCAGATCCTGAAGTTTGCAGTTTGATTAGGTGCCTAAGTGTCAGACAGCTTTCCATATCTAAAAGTGTAATAAAATGCATTCTTAAAAGTGGAAGATTGATTTTTATTATCCTTTATTACTTTAGACTTTTATTCCATTTTTTTATTCTGTTTAATAAGAAAATTGTGAAGTCTATTTCTGAAAACCACGAGTTCATTTTACACCTGCATAGTTAAGTGATGTGAGAGATGAGATTATTATCATTGAAGTATTATAATAGCTAAGCATTCTTTGACCACTGAATAAAAAAGAAAACTAAATTAGAAAGGTATAACTTTGTAAAGTGGATAATTACATAAAGTGCCTAATAAGGCAAATGCATAAAATAATATTCTAAGTAATTTTTGAAATAATTATTTGTCTCATAGAGTCAGTGAAATGTAAAAACAAACCAACACAAGACTAGAAAGTTCTTAGCTACAACTTCTGTGATAAAGGCTCTCAAATCTTTATCTCTGCATTCCAAGGAAACTTTTAGATTATACATTTTCCATGGGTAGAAACCAAGTAATAGTCATTTTATTGGGTTTTCAAGACTTAGCACAATGCTTACCACCTACAAGGTTTTATTTCATTCTATTTTATTTAACTTCAGTTTTGACCAGAATTGAAATTTACTGATAAATTTCAGTTGGACTTTTACATTTTTTTCACTTGACATTACCTAAGTATTCTACTGAAATCTCACAGGCATTATTTCTAAAAGGAACCTCATATTCCACCTGTTCTTTGTGACACAAAATGGCTTCCTTTATTCTGTGTTCTCACTAGATATTTTTAATGGTAAAGTATCTCAAACATACTGTAAATTAGAGAGACTAATACAATAAACTCTAAAATGCCTGTCACCTAAATTCGATAAGACTGTTGCTTCATCTGTTTTAACTCTTCACCCTCCTCTTTACTTCCTTCTTACTGAATTGTTTTGCAACAAATACCAAGTATTAAGTCATGTCATTTTACTGTTAGATACTTATTACAGTATACATCTCTACAAGCGTGGGCATTTGTTTTAAAGGCCTAATTAGGTTTAGGTTCCTCTAGCCAAGAATAATTCATAAGTGATACTGTATACTTCATATTGAATTACGTCAAGAATATACAAAGTCTGGCTGTCCCACTTTTAGTAAGGTTTAAGTTACTTAGTGAGTTCAAAGGGTGACATCCATTTCTGCCAATTGTAAGATTTTCCATTCACCTTTCATTTATTGGATGCATCCATCGATAGGCATTACTAAACCTACTAGTTTACTAGTGATTGTAAAATATTGATCTTCTACTTTTATTATATTTTTGTATTTATTATTTAGGATGATTTTATAAAGAAATACTTTTATTCATCAACTAAGCCTATTTAGTAACCCTGAAATATGGTTTCCCTTGTAAAGACAAGATTCTTTCCAGTTAATTGACAATTTTAGTGTACGTAGTTATTGTGGTTAAAATGGTGTTGATTGAGTCCATTTACTTGACTGTTTTTATTCATTTTGCTTTTTCCTATGTGTGTATTAATAGGAGCTCATAACTTTATCAAATAATCTATATTGTACATTTATGATAATTTTGGCATTGTATTCACAAGGGCAAGAAGTTAGTGTGTCTGGTTAAATCTGTGCCCTAATAGACAAGACGATGGCAAAAATTAATATCTGTGAATGTCTCTTTGGGTAGAAAAAGCTTTATGCTAAGTTACAGATCTCAATTCTCGTTTAAGGTGTCTTCTTCAATAACGTTTATTTTCCTTAGCAGGCTACCAGCAGTTTATACATTAGCAAAAACTGACTTAATAGGTACACACATAAGTAATTTATCTTCTTCGTTCCTAATCTTTGTTTTAATAGGTACTAAAAAAACTGTGTTTATCAGTTAAATCAATCTATTTATTAGATTATGCCAAATAAAATGCTTTATTCAATTTTGAGGTAGGAGCAAATTTTTTTATACTTTAACATTTAAAGCTCCAATTTTTTATTCTACAATTGAGGCTTGTTTACCAGAAAAAAAAATGATAAATGTTATCAGTGTACATTTTTCTCACACATATTAATGTTAGTAGAAATATATTTTAAGGGACAGTTACATTATTATTAATCTAGAATAGACATAATAGCAAGTGTCTAAAAATACCAAAAATGATAAACTAATATCTAGGTAATGATCTAACCTTCAACTTCCCTTTAGAAAAACAATGATTTATCACTCATAAATTTTGTATTAATGGAGCCACATCTGCAGATGGCCTGAGGTGGAAATTATCTACTCAATGGTAATTTTATTCTACTGCCATTGTATTAGGGACAATAATAAACTATGCTAATTAACCAAGCTTTTTTTTTTCTTTTTACATTTCTAGACCAATAAATTATATATATATCCCTAGGAAATAGCCCATATTTTAGTAGCTCCTAATTAAATATGTGATTAAAATAAAGTATGCCTTTTGTTTAAATACTAGAGAACTTACTCATTTATAAGTAAGAAAATAATTTCTTGTTTTACCATCAGTCTCTACATTATTATTACCACACAAATAGATATGAGCCTTCAATTTTAATAAATATGTTTGTGGTAGATTTTATATATTTCACATAGAATTGGTATAGACATACACACTCTTCTAGAAATCTCCAAAAATTCAGTAACACTTTATTTATTCAGTATATATTCATTAAGAACTAAAGATGTAAAGAAAACTTGTCAAAATAAATGCTCCCCAGTCAAAGTGAAATGTTTAGAAAATCAGCACAGATATAAACTTTGTAAAAATAGAATTTTGTAAGAAACTTTGCCTTCCCCAGTTTTGCTGATTTTGAATAACCAATTATTTTTCATAAGAGTTGTGTTGATTTGGCTGGGCGAGGTGGCTCACGCCTGTAATCCCAGCACTTCGGGAGGCCGAGACGGGCGGATCACGAGGTCAGGAGATAGAGACCATCCTGGTTAATAAAAATACAAAAAATTAGCCAGGCTTGGTGGCGGGCGCCTGTAGTCTCAGCCACTTGGGAGGCTGAGGCCGGAGAATGGCATGAACCCGGGAGGCGGCGCTTGCAGTGAGCCGAGATCGCGCCACTGCACTCCAGCCTGGGCGACAGAGGGAGGCTCCGTCTGAAAAAAAAAAAAAAAAAAAAAAAAAAGAGTTATGTTGATTTTATCCAGCCCATGTGTCTCTCTGAAAATTATTTTCAAACATGAAGCTTTATGAATGGATCAAGTAGATATCGTGTTACTGGCAGTGAATCTGTGTGGGGTCTACAGCAACCTCAATTCTTACCCCCTCAGAAGAAAGAATTTGACTGAGGGGTATAAGGCAAAGTGAGAGACTAAGGCAAATTTTAGAGCAAGAGTGGAAGTTTATTTAAAAACTTTAGAGCAGGAATGAAAGGAAGTAAAGGACACCTGGAAGAGGGCCAAGCATGCGACTTGAGAGATCGAATGCCCCATTTGACTTTTGACTTAAGTGTTTATATGTTGGCATACTTCCGGGGTCTTGCATCCCTTCTCCCCTAATTCTTCCCTTGGGGTGGGCTGTCCACATCCACAGTGTGTTGACTAGAGTTGTATGCATGCTCACTTGAGGCGTTTTCTCCTTACCAGCCAAATGTTCCTAGAAGCCCATAGGCCAGTTAAACTCTGCCATTTTGTCTCTTAATGATCATGCTTTAGCCCACTTGCCCAACTCCTGGTATCTTATTGGGAAGCTGCTGATCACCAGTTTCAGATGTTTCTGTTTATTGGGAGACTGCCTTTCCCTGGCTCTGGCTGTGACCAATTATTACTTTGGAGAGGCAGTGTGACAACTGCCTGACCACCACCTGATTGTCACCTGACATTCCTGGTGGTGGGGAGAGCCCTCTCCTGCCCTGCTCATGCCTGACTAGCTACCTACTCTGACAATTTAAGATCAATGAGACTTTCAGCAAATTATTCCCTT
This sequence comes from Homo sapiens, assembly GCF_000001405.40. Taxonomy (NCBI): domain Eukaryota; kingdom Metazoa; phylum Chordata; class Mammalia; order Primates; family Hominidae; genus Homo; species Homo sapiens. The sequence goes on along the minus strand of NC_000002.12, from coordinate 193,489,443 downwards.
ACTCTTAATTCCATCATCTGTAAGGAGTTATAATACCCATAGTAAAGGGCTGATACAGTTCCTGGACAAAGTAGGAAATCAACAAATGGCAATGATAACAATTAATATTATTGTATTATAGCATATAGAATAGCATACTAAGAATATAGTATTAAAATCATTAATGCCATTACCTTAAGTACTTTAATACAAACTAAAAATAATTTATTTTGATGCTCTATTATTTATATTCTAGAATTAAAGTTTTAGTTCTTAAGTTGTTTTTATGAATTATTGGTGTTTGTGGCTAAGAGAATAACTTCTTTTCTCACCTGGTTGAAGTTCTCAACAGTAAACCTTATTTTATTATTCAGTTTTTGCTGAACCTCATCTAAGTGCCACATATTAATCTTTTCCCCAAACTCTTAGATATGAGTTGGGCTATCGCTTTCTTATTCAAGGCTTTCCCTACATTGTCAGCAAGTCCTTGGTTTTAGTTATGAACTTAAAGTTATTTAAAAATAGACTATTTTCTGTAAGTGATGTTTCTTCAATATCTTTTTCAAAATATGAACTGCAAATTTCTCATAAGACCATGAAGGCCTTTGGTTTTTACTGAGGTTTTGCCCTCAGACTTCTCAGATCTTGTCCTGCTGGCTATACCTTGCATCCAGTAACCCTGCTGTGCTGGCCTTCAGGAATGATAAATTCTCTCTTAAAATAAAAAGCTTTTTCTAATTAAAGATAACCTGAAACTTGGTTTCTTAGTGTGAAGAAGAGTAATGCAAAGTGTTTCCTTTGTTACAGCCAAAACAAAACAAAACAAAACAAAAATGTACACAGAGCTGCCATATTTTGTCAAGTAATGATTCTAAAAATAACTAATATATTTCAGATAACTAACATGTTCTAGAAAGGGAGTTATAAACTGTGTAGATATTATTTTGTATAACATTTTCAAATGTCTTTCGAGATAGATAAACATATTTTCTTCCCATGAAAGATGATCGGGGGACTTTATCCCCAGGATACTGTATGCTAAATCTATACTGATTCTTAGGTACTTTGTTAATAAGAGGGCTCATGCATCATCCAATCGGTACCTAATCATATTTATTTTAGCTTTTAAAAAATAATTAATGCATATCTACTATCTCTGTTAAAGAACAGAAACATCAGATTTTCTGTTTGAGGAAGTTGAAAGCTATTAGATATTAGTAGCTGAACCACCAGTGAATTCCAGAAAGGTTTTTAGGAAAAGGCATATCTAAAAGGAATTTACAAAAACAGAAAATGCATCACAATGTCCAGTTATTTAGTAAAAGTAAAAGGAAACATTTGATTGTTTTATATATATAGCATTGCATTATAATAGTTGGTAACATCCATTCTATGTTTACTATTCTTGTTTTTTTTTTTTTTGCCCCATGCTTAGTACTTTACCTATATTGTCATAATTTATTATAACAATTTTTGAAGTAGATAAAGTAGATATATTATCATCCTCTTTTTACAAATAAGAAAACTAAGACTTAGGAAAATCATATACATTTTCCATGATCACAGTAGACATTAAAAAATGGTAATTCTAATCATCACTGATATTATGGATTTAATTATTTCAATGACAATATAATGATGTAGAGATGTTCAGAGTCAGAACTGAATAGTTCTAGAAATGAGGGAAGTGGGCTTCACGCATGAGGTGTCTTTTGAGTCAGACCCTGAGGTATGGAAAGAGTTTAGAAATGTAAATCAACAGGGAAAAAAGCGAGAAAACTTCAGCCAGAGAAAAGTGTTGGAATGTGATATCCAGTGCCACATCTAATGAATGATTACCTGAAGGTAACTCTCCAACAGTATAACTTAAACAAATTAATCTTATAAAAAACGAGACTCCAGGTATGAAAAATATAAACAATAATATTTTCTTCACGAAATTACTAGAATTCCTTTTTAACACTCTGCTTTAGAACAAACGAATAAAACCATCTGCTTTATATAGTGTAGAATTAAAATAATTATTTTGGCATTCGGAACTTCCCAAACATTTTGTCTGTTATGAATATCATGAAACTGATTGGCATCAGAGCTGGTTAGACGTTTTTGAAAACAAAAATGTGGAAAATTAGATACCAATTGAGGAGCATTCAATGAAATACTTCCTGTGTTTTCTAAAAATATAAAAGCTGTCATATATAGTTTTGAATCATTTGACACAAAAAATAAGTTGAATGCTGGGTGTGGTGGCTCATGCCTGTAATCCCAGCACTTTGGGAAGCTGAAGCAGGTGGATCACCTGAAGTAGTTCAAGACCAGCTTGGCCAACATGGTGAAATCCTGTCTCTACTAAAAATACAAAAATTACCCAGGTATGATGGCGGCTGCCTGTAATTCCAGCTACTCAGGTGGCTAAGGTGGGAGAATCGCTTGAACCTATGAGGTGCAGGTTGCAGTGAGCTGAGATAGCGCCACTACACTCCAGCCTGGGAGACAGAGTGAGACTCTGTCTCAAAATAAATAAATAAATAAATAAATAAATAAATAAATAAATAAATAAGTAAATCTACTTAAACAATCACTTTCATGTATAATCTTTACTCCTTCTCTTGTCCATCGATACACTGGCTTGGGAGTTGAAGACCCTGAAATGAAATGGGGTATAATAGGGTGTTTATTCTCCTCCCAAACCTCACTCTAACATGATGCCAAAAGATGAGAAGAAGTACTGGAAAGACCACTGGGATATCTCATCACCACTCCTCTGATTCATTTTCTGGTTACTCTGGGACAGGAGTAGAAATGAAACAGATGTCTCTATTTAGTGATTTCATTGCTTATCTATCAATTGTTGCTGCTTGGTCTATCACCTGGCCATCAAAGTCTGTGCATGGCACCATCAAAACACCAGCTCTCTCATGACTGTTTTGTGTAGATTCTTCAAAGGGCTATCATTGCACTGTCTTAGGATGAGATACACAGTACCACCTCTAACTCCTTCATTTAGTAGTACTCTTTCAGTAGTATCCCCTGTGGCTTCTTGCTATTGAAGACCCTTTTGGGCAGATAATAATCTAGGATGGGGAATGGCAACATTATTCAAGTATAGCTATCTTTTGCTTTTTGTTTTTTTGAGGTGGAGTCTTGCTCTGTTGCCCAGGCTGGAGTGCAGTGGCATGATCTTAGCTCACTGCAAACTCCACCTAGCTATCTTAAATACTATCCTAGGTGAGGACAGTAGCCTTTAATGAAGCCCATAAGGAAACTAGAGTATGTAGCTGTCTGAGATGATAATCTACTTCAAAACCTGCATTTATGATGAAGAAGAGAAGACCTGTCATCGCTGATTAGTATTATAAATGAGGGAATTATTTTCAGTATTCTATGGAACAATAGAGTTCAGAGTATCTTCCTTATGTGACACTCGAACCCCTATCAATTACCCCACAAATAAAGCTCCCTGGTGGCTCAGAGGCTAGGAGTTGGCCTCATTGGTGGTGCAGGGGAGTAGAAGACTTTGAAGGAAGGACTATGCAATAAGGTTGAAACCTCCCAAGGCCTGGAGCTGACTTAACTCTGGGTTTGCTTATTTCATGTGTTCAGTTTGGATCTGGACCTGGGTCTCTGAAGGAGATGGGCTTGTTGTCTTTGGGAGACATGTAACGATGCCTTAAAATAAATGATGCTTGCAGTGTGATTCCTTTGGTCCACTTAACCCTCAAGAAATTCACTTGTCCCTGTTACTCCAAACTATGGGAGTTGAGACTATTCATCTACCATCCAAACTATTTTCCCATTATCTCTCTCTACCTTTTCCTTTGCTCGGATAAGCACATAGCAGATCAACAGATTTGCTTTTTAGAAAACTGTCATACTAGAGAATAAAATGTGAAATACCCTAGATTGTTACAGACACTTGGAGCCCTCTTCAGTTGGATTTTAGCGGGGAGAAAAGAAATGGCACCTTGTCTATTATGTTGATAATTTGCAAGCCAAAGGATTTTCTTTCTTTCTGTCATTCCCCAGTCATCTTTCATGTAAGAGATTAGTAATATGTGTGTATGGGGTGAGAGAGGGATAATAGAGTCTCTTGGTAGTATTTAAAGACAAGTCTTCTATGAGGAGCCTAATCTCACCCCCAGGACACCCAATTGTTAAAAGGATTTTAAAAATCTGAAATTCACAAACAGATTCAAGAAATAGAGATCAGTTGACTTTTATTATTAATACTTGGCCTGCTGGCATAAATGTGAGTAGGCCCCAGAAGACCATCAATTAAGACCTGACAAAAGTGACAAGTAATGCAATACCATACTCTGGCTGGTGGTAGGTATCTGGTTTTGAAATTTCAAATCTATATTTAAATTCTATTTGCTTTGTATTTATTCAGGAAATAACTATCTATAGATTTAAAAAATCGACTTTTCTTTTATGTGATTCCTATCTAACGTTTCACAATAAAAATGGTAGGTGAGATTCCTATCTGACCTGGACGATATTGTGCAGTGACCTCTAAGTGAAGTACTCACTACTTATATATTTAATATGTGTGATTTCAAATGCTTTTGTAAGACCAGATGGCTTTATTTGATTAATTTTTTTATAGAATTGCAGAAAAGTCTTCCAGTCTTAGCTCAACTACCATTTCCTCAGAGAAATATTAACTGATGACTCTCTACCTACTTCATTTACAATCTTTTCATCATGCTCTGTCCTATATGGTATAAACTAACATGTATATTTTATTTAATTACTTACCAGTTATTCATTTTCATTCTTCTCCAATTAAAATATAAACTCTTTGAGGACAGATACCATTCCTGTCTTTTGCACTGCAATATATCTATTACTCAGAACAGTGCCTCACACATAGCTGGTGCTGATTAAATATCTGTTGAATAGATAATTAACAGAAGAAATAAGTAGACAAAATCAGTATGTTGGACTGTCAAGAGTGTTAGAAAAACCGAAAGTGTTATTCTGTCAAGTAGGAACTCAATAAAAACTGAATAGATATTGATCAATACTTTATTTCATCTCCAGTCTTACTAAATTATCACTGATGTGCGAATTTGTATTGGTTGAATACTTGGAAGTGTGAATGAGTGGGTGATTATGTTCATCTGCTCTCTGCTGGTATCTCTTTTTCCTTGCATTCTGCCACATCTATGTGTTCACTGTGTTCAAAAATCAATAAAAAGAGTTTTAATTCAATTTTCCCTATACTTCACTCATATCTGGAAATGGAGCTCAAGATGTACCTTTGAAAATGATTTTTTGCATATTCTTTTGAGATAACAAAGACTCAATCTTTAGTGTGTGGGTATGGGGAGGGGACATTGGCTGGTCATTCATCTTTTCAATGGATAATCTTACAAATAATCTTACAGTGCATTTTTTTATTTGGAAAAGATAATATGAGATTAAGAATAAATACATTTTTTCATGTATCTTTCAATAGATTGTTTTCTTGCTATTTGTAAAATGTAGAATTTTTTATTTAGAAAAATAGGGATCTCTCTCTTCCTCTAAATTATCAAAGCAATACAATAAATATACTAAAGGTATAAAACTATAGTGAGGAATTGTCTCTAATCCTCCTTCCCTGAAAACCACTTTTCTTTCTTTTTGTGGTTAATTTATTCTAATTTTTACTCACATGCATGCATTTTGAATAGTTATAATACTTATTTACATGTAGTCTTGCTTTTATAAAATTACTATTTCTTAAGTGTTTATATGACCACATGGATTACAATTATGGTCATTAATTGATAACTACCCCAGTCATAGGATTCATTTCTATATTTCTAAATAGCAATTTCTATATTGTTGGTTTAAATAAGAGCGTAATCAACATGCGTATGCCTTTCCCCATAGTTTGCATTATTTCCATATAAGTTCCTATAAACAGAATCAGAATGGTCAAAGATAATAAACAAAAATTCAGCTAACCTAACTTTGTGAATATTCTGGTGTTGCTACATTTTTATTTTTTAACATTGGGTATTTCATCTCAGATTCCATTATATAGAGTTTATTTGCTGATTATTTCAAATAACATATTCTCATCATTCTAAAATATAGTGTCTTGATCACTTTAGTAAGAGCAAATAAATTTAAACATATTTTTGTATTTAGTACATTGCAAACTGTTTTACTAAAAATATGTTGAATAAGATATAGAAGACTTAAAAATTCTAATTAGCTACTTAATGAGACTTTAGGAGGGTACTGAGATTTTTTTCAATAAGATGAAACAAATGAAAAACCTCAAGAGAAGTAATTTTATATATTTAAATTATATTCAAATCTATGCTTATGGATTGAAAAAATCAAACACATAATTTACTTTATCCAGATTACAAAGCCAAAATGCCTATTAACTGGAGATCCGAAGAAGAAAGCTTATCTGTAATGAGTCTTCCAAAGTCCACTGCTAAGAATATCAATCCAACTTAATGACATTAGAGAAAAACAAAACAAAACAAAACAAAACTTACTTGTTGAGTTTTCTCTGGCATACATTTAACTTTACATTTCATCTGATCAATAAAAGATATTTACCATGAGTAATAAAGTACGTAATGCTTTTAAATTTGTATGGATTTTACACATACGGGTCAAAAAGGTTTTAACGTTTAATCTTCCACTCTTGACTACATATAGTTTTGCTTTCAGTTTTCACCCCAGTTTTCCCTTCTAGGTACATCATTTACATTTCCCCATTGTCATAGATCAAGAAGAGGGGAAATTGACAGAAACTGGTAGATTCTGTAGTTCAGTATCCTCTCCAAAGAAGCATTTTGTTCTTACTTTACTACCTCAAAGGAGTAATAAATTTATTTTTAAAACATTTTATAGATAAGAAATAATAGCTTAGTGGAACTGAATAAAGTTGGCCCTGGTCAAAAAGCATGTTATTAGTAGAGCAATATATATATATAATTTATATATTATATATTTATATATATATTTTATATATAAATTTATATAATTTTATATATAAATTTATATAACCCATGACTTTTTTCACTTTACAAATACATCATTATAAATGACATATTGCACTGATAGTAAAATTAAATTTTTGCTTACTATCAAGTTTTAGTGATGTTTAGCTTTACAGGGATCTATAACTTCCATTTTAATTTTTGTGAGAAAAACTTAAATTCTGTGAGAAATGATTAAAAAACAACAGTAAGAACAACCAAATTTTTCTGCTTTTTATATGTGTCAGAAAAATATCCTATAGAAAACTGCTTATAATCTTTTTGACATGGAATAAGACTGCTTTTCTATATCTCATCCAATGTAGAAAAAAAAAATACCAGTTTCTCTAGATCTGTAACAGAGAAGTTAAGTCATTTAAATAGGGGTAGAGGTTTTTAATTTGAGAATAGCCTTGATAAATTTTTCCATTTGTGACAAAGAACATCTGACCCCATCTTAGCTTCTGTCATGTCTACTTTTGTATAAAGGAGCATGTTTCATAAATAATATCTGAACTTTCAAAAAATAAAAAATAAAACCATCTGAAATATTCTGAGAAAATATTACTTCTCTGGAATCATGATGAATTAAAAAAAGATAAATACAAAACTAAGATGGAAGTCTACTACTTATTAGATGATATTGATAAGTCAATTAATCCAGTTTATCTCAAAATATAGGCCAAGATCACCTGAATTGGTATTATCTGTGTTGTATGTTTAATACAAGTTTCTGTCCTCACTACAGGCCTATGGGATCAGAATTCCTGAGGATAAGTTATCAGATATAGTGTGCATGTCTGCAAGCATTCAGGTGATCATTATGCAGGGTTCTTATTTTAGATTCAGGAATAAAATCTCCTTACAGATTTGTCATGACAACTAAATTAACTTGGTAAAGTGATGAGGATAGGACAAGTCCATAATAATTTTAAATGTTATTCCCTTATTCTTTTATCCTTGACAGAGATTTTGTTATATCTTTCTTTTATTTATTTATTTTTTTGGTGAAGTACTTACTTTGGAGCATTTCTCTGTTTAATTATTTGCTTTCACAGTAAATATTTTCAACATGTAACTATGCCCATGTAAGTATACAGGTAAGTGACCATGAGATAATTGCACATGCTCTCCCTAATTCATGAGAGAGAGAGTCACTACATTAAACATTTGAAGGATGTATGGCAAAATTGCATCAATGTTGGAAGTAGGGCAGTTTAATGTTATTAGTGTGCCCAAACAAACTATTCTTTACACGATCAGGTAATACTTCAGGAAAGTCACTGGTCAGGATGATGGAGGAGAGATTGGAAAATTAGAAGACAGATGTGTAACACATATTTCTTCTAACTTGTTTCTCTAGAGTTACAAAGTCTTCTATGAAGGGGGGTTGTAAAGTCACATTAGGTCTTGTCCATGAATTTATCTCCGATCACAAACTGATTTGCTAGCCACACCTCATTTCCTCCAGGATCTCTAATATGCCCCAAACAAATGTTTTTGCCTTTGCTTAATTCATCTCTTTGCATAAGACATAATTTCTCATCTGTGAGCCTGAAAAAAATACTATTCATTTTACAATAGATTTTAGGAATCACCTGTAAGTAAGCCTTTCCCAATATTTCCCCAAATTAGAAGAAATCATGCCTTCCTTTTTAATCACATCTTATTTTGTGCTCACGTTGTATTAATCATATCTTCTATTTTCTGTACCTGATACTTTGACATCCACACCCCTGCTCTCCCTTGAGGAACTGTCCCTCTCAGGGTTATCCAGTTTACAGAGATAGTATACAATGTGCCTGTCTGTGAGCTTTTCAAAAACAAAGCAACCAATGGAGAGCCACACCACAACCACCTCCTTCACTGGGCCGCTATGTCGCTGCCCTAGTCACCCCAGATTCAGGTACCACAAAATGAAGGAAAACCTCTATGCCCTAGATCGTATTTAAATTATTCAAACTAACCAATACTAAGTCATCTTACCTTTCTCTACTTGTTCTTTCCTGCAGAAACTACAATAAAGGCTCTTTCCCACAGTTCTCCCATTTCTTCTACCTTGTACCTAACCCTCATGCCTCCCTAAGTGGCTCCCCAAGGCATGGCATAGCCCTTCCCCTTAAGCTGTGAGTGATCAACTATCTTTTCAATGACAATAGCCTTCTGATTTTTTGCCCTAACTATACTTCAAATGTTTTAATTAATGCACTGTATTTTAAAACAAGAAATCCATAGGATTGGTACTTATCTTGGTCAATGAATTAACAGCCTCTTCTTTGGGTCTCACTAAAGTTTAGTATGTCCTCACTTGGATAGACATCCTTAAACCCATACCTTTTCTCCCTTTTGTAGTCTTGAGACCTTGAAAAATATTTGTTTACATTTATATCTCTGACCATTTTTCTTGTATGCCTTCTGGTGTTTTGCTACTAAACGGGTGATCTGGGAAGCAGCAGCATCCCCATCTTCTGGGAGCTTATTAGAAATACAGAATGCCAGGGTCTGAATCAAAATTAACATTTTAACAAGATGCCAGGTGATTCATATGCATGTTACATTTGTATCAGCATTGCTTTAGGATAGCAATCCCTTTACTCTATTCTTTTCAACTAGATGACCTTAGGTATTAAAACTACATTATACTTCAGAAGTTGAATGCTTTTTTTCCTCTATCTGTATACACAACAATTACTGTGGATGGCTCTCAGTACCTTTGTCTTCTTTTCTATTTATTTTTTCCACAGTTTTTATTTGATTGTATGATCAATCTATCTTTATACTAATATTATATTCACCTGAATTCCAGAGACTTTCTTAGAAAACTTCAAAAATATTTTTCTGCTCTTACATAAATTATAATGCTTTTTCTTTCTTATTGTGTTTTCTTTTTTACCTCTAAATAAATTGTATTATAAGATTCAAAATATCCCAAAGGTGGACTTTGCCAATTTTATTATTTGTCCCTAGAACTGTAAAGATTTACAAAATATATTTCATCTCAACACCAAGCAATGGTACACTCATTGTAAAGACAGATGCCAGGTTTTTTTGTATTTTTGTATGTGCATTGATAAACTGTGTTAGTTCTCTATAGGATAATTTATTAACTTTATCATGAATTATTTACCACCATGATTCAAATTTAAGTATATATGAAATGTACTAGTCAAACTTAAGTGCACAGGAAAGTATTATTTCTAAGATATTGTGAAAAAATAACATAAGCCCTCAGAGTTAGCAGCTCTAAACTTCCTGTGTAAACTGTACTTAGGTATGACTGGCTTGTTAAAAGATTAAGAAATCTGTTTTAAAGCTGGGTGTTCATTAAAAGTATGCTTTTACTCCTTGAGATTTTAAAATTATTTGGGAGTATCTTCAGAAACTGATGATTGTGATTAATATGGAGCTTTATTTGGATAGAAAGCTGTTTGTTAATTATTTAAATTTTTGTATATAAACATGGAAAGGGATTTAGGAGCATAGATGAAGATTATTCTGGAAACAAATTAAAAGTTTGTTGAAGTTGAGTGAAGAGATTAAAAGAACAATAAGAAGAGTAAAATGGCAGTCGGTCAATTACCTGCTGCCTGATAGCACTGAACAAAAGCCCTAAATAGCATATAATATTTCTCTTTTTATTTTGTACTCAGTTTAGATTGAATCATATAGGATTTTGTGAGTTATTAATTTCAGTTCCAAACAACCCTCCCCTGATCCTCATAATGTATTCAGTGTTATACTTTTTCTAACAGGAGTCATGTTGTTGAAGGTATAAAATATTTCAAATATCTTACAATGTGGAAAACTCATTTTATTTTCTTGGGGGGATTTTGCACCAAATTCTATTTGCATCTTCTTCTAGTTATTCAAACTTCCTGAAATTGGGATTAGGACTAGGATAATTTTTACTAATATGAATCCAAGAATACCCAGCCGTGCATTTGAACACCCACTCAGAGCTCATGTTTACAGGATCTATGAAGAAAATAATTAAACAAAGCAAAGCAACTACTAGGGGGAGTCCTCCCACCCCAACCTCAAGCCCCAGTGTAGTAAAATAGTCAAGTATATTAAGCTAACAACCTAGAATAAATTTTGCCTAATTTTTCTAGGGCAAAATGACTTATATTGAAAGCAAATGGAGGTTCAATTCTTACAATTTTATTCCCATTTGTTCACAATTTCATATTTAGCATTCTCATTTGAGGAATGTCTATCTAAAAATACCTGCCATTAAGAATCAGAATACCGTTTGGGGAAATGAAAATCAGCCCTCCAGGTATAAGACTATTAAAAATGTTTCTAATGAGACCTGCACAAGGCCATGGAAACAATGTTTCTATATAAGGCTCTACCACAGATGTTTTAAAAAGAAAATAAAAACTTTTAAAAACCATAAAACTTCCTTCTGGGAGACTTGCTGCTTTGTTACCAATAATATTCTCAATCCCAATTTCATTCCACTTGCTTCATAGACAAAGATTACTGAGATACTTAACTGCTGACTGATCATGGGATATAGTTGACATAAAATAACTGCACATATTTAAAGTGTATTATGTTGATATAGGTAAGCATACCTGTATCCAAAACCACAGTTAAGATAATGAACATACCCATCACAAGGAAAGCTTCTGGTTCCCTCTTTTCTATGTTCCTTCTCAGTTATCTTTCCATCCTCAAGCAATCACTGATTAAATTTGTGTCACTACAGAGGTGTTTGTATTTTCTGGACAATTTTATCAATGTAATCATACAGTATGTACTCTTTTATTCTGACTGTCCTTCATTCAGGAACTTGCTGATGTGCATTATTGTGTGTCAAGAGTTTGTTTCATTTCATTTCTGAGTAACCATATAGCACAATATGTATTTCTGTTTACATATTGGTAGCCATTAGATTTGGTTCGAATTTTGGACATTTGCTTTCATTTCCCTTGGTAAATACCTAGGAGTAGAATGGTTGGGGCATATGGTAGATGTAAGAATAACTTTTTAAGAACTTGTGAAACTGTTTTCTACAAGTGGATCTACCCCTTTACATTCCCACCAGCAGGAAATGCACATTCAGGTTATTTCAAATCTCCTTCAACCCTTGGTATAGTCAGTCTTCACTTTGAGACATTTTGATAAGTGCGTTGTGGCATCTCATTGGATTCTAACTTTTATTTCCCTAATGAATAATGATGCTGAGCATTTTTATGTGTCTATTTGCCATCTGTGCATCTTCTTCAATGAAAAGTCTGTTGGTTTTTTTATTACTGAGGTTAATAAGAGTTCTTATACATTCTGAATATAGTACTTAAACAAATATGTGATTTTCAGATATTTTTCTCATAGTTTGTAGCTTGTTTCTGATTCTCTTAATGGTGCCTTTGGATGTTCTTCATTTTGATGAAGTTTAACTATTTATACCTTAATAAGTCATCCTTTTGGTATGAGATATAAGAAATCTTTGCCTAATCCAAGGATAAATATTTTAAAAATTATTTTCTTTGAAGTTTTGGAATTTGGGGTTTCTGAACTTTTAGTTATTTTTATATGGTATAATATATCAATCCCAGTTGTTCTTTTTATTCAATACTGTATGGACAATAAATTTTCCAACATTATTTGTTGAAAATTCTACATTTTTTCTACCAGATTGCCTATGAACATTGTGAAAAATCAATTGAACATATATATATAGCTTTATTTTTGACTCTAATTAGTTCCTTGATTAATTTGTTGCTGATATTTATACCAATACCATATTGTCTTAAATATTAGGGATTTATTTTTAAGTCTTGAAGGTATAAGTCACAAGGTATAAGTGTTACAGTCTAAATAGTCCCTAGTTCAGCTAGGTCCGAATTCTTGTCCGATGACTAAGAAGAATAAGGCACGCAGCTACTGGAGAATAAATAGAGTAGGGTTCATTAAGCAAAAAGAAAGCTCTCAGCAAAGAGAAGGTCCCTGAAAGCAGGTTGCCAGAAATGGGGTTGAGTTCTGGGTCTTTTATATGGCAAGAGCAAGGAAGTCTTCTGTGGGTTCTGCCTAAATGGGAGGGGCAAATTTCCGCCTTGGGGTGCCTAAGTACTGATGGGTTTAAAGGGGGGCTAAAACCACAATGCAAATGTCACGTTAATGACATTATAATGAGTTGCATCAAGTTAAGGACATTTAGGTTGATTTATTGTGCCTGTGCCTAAGTTGGGACTGTCCCTTCTGAGGAGACATCCTTGCATAAGAGGAAATTCTTAACCACATTTCTTTCCACTAGCTATAGGGGCAGTGCAGGTGTGGTCCCACGGATATTTTTCCACTCCCAAGACCCTCGCTATCTGCTTATCCAACCTCTATCTGCCTCCTCGCTCATTCCCCTCTCTGGAGTGGTGACCCTAACTGGAATTTTTATGTGGGGTTTCATCTGCATCACCAGCTAAATTTTGATGACTTCTAGGCAAGAAGACACAACTTTTAGAAGAAAGCCTAATATGCAAAGTCCAAAAAGCAGAGCTAAGATAACCATTACCCGGCATTCTAACAAGGGTAGAAACCATGCCATTGAGGGAAGATACCCTTTAATAGTATTCTATATATCTCCAGCCAAACGGGTCTTAGTACCTCTTAATCATTTAGCTCTATGAAATAGCTGCTTAGCCCTAAGCTCATCCTCTCCTGAGGAGTTAACATAAAAGCAACAAGAAGTATTTGCTATAGCTCATATCCCTCCTTTTTCTGCTAAAAGATAATCAAGGGTTATTTTATGATCCATCACCTGATTGGCAAGTGAATCTTATGAAGTTTGGAGCAACTTAAGACCTTGACCAGCATTTTCAGCATTCTGTTCAATTATACTTGATGCATTCTGGATTGTATATCCATTGTAAACTATTCCTCCTACCAAGCCACCTATGGATATAACTGCTGTTGTTACACTCAAGGCTGTAAGACCTACTTCTCCTTTCTGTCTGGTATGTTCTTGATGGGAAGGGATTATGGGAAACCTGGTATATGTGTAGGGAGCCCCCCAGGGGCAACACCTAGCTCAGTGAACACATTCTTTGCACTACTGTGTGATATAGGCAATTCAAGGCCCACATTATTTATTTTTGGTCTTTACAGACGAACCATAGTCCCTGAGGTGCACAGATGATAGTGATGTTATTAAGTGAGTTTACTCATTTCTGTAAGTCCTGGCTGAGTAAACAATTTGGGACAGATTATTCGGTTCCTGAAGGATGCCAAGAAGTACCAGCCCATGCTCCTGCCTTTTACAAGGCAGAGTGACTCGTTAAGGTGCCATCAATTGAATCTGCCCACATATATTGAATGCAGTCATTAACTGTCCAAACTTTCTTGTTCTGACAAGTTTTAATACCTCTATTCCCATTAAATATTTCATAAACAAAAGCTTGGGGAGAATAAAGATTGGAAGTAAAGGTCCTGCTGCATGACATACGGTGTTCCCTGTTGTTTGTCTCCAGGTGGAAACACAGGATATTGAGAAGTACAGAGGAAACCATTTCTTGTCAAGTTATGGAGGCCCCCTATCTTTGTACCAGACTAGTAGCCTGAATAGGTGGGTTTCCAGGACTACTGTTGCATTTTAAGAAAAGGGTTGGAAGCGTTTAGGAAAGTGAGTGGTATCTCACTTATCTGGCTTATCAAATAATTTCTGGTAAATGTGCCAGAAGTGCAAAATGTACTCCCAGAGGCGAATGCCATAATAGTTAAGTTTAATTCTTTACTACATGTATGATTTGTGTTATTCTGGAGGAGTGTTTATAAATTATTGAAGGGTGGCCCCCATCCCCAGTGGAGGACTTCTTATAGGTTATATAATGGAGGGGCTGAAACGAAAGGACCGCAGAAGCACTGGCCAACCTGGAATTTGTGGTGCCTGCCTGGAAAGTGTGGTAGACCTAATAAATATAAATAAATAGAAGAAAGGCCAATATAAAAAGAAATTCATGGCCAGGCACAGTGGCTCAGATCTGTAATCCCAGCACTTTGGGAGGCCAAGGCAGGAGAATCACCTGAAGTCAGGAGTTCAAGACCAGCCTGGCCAACATGGTCAAACCCCGTCTCTAATCAAAATATAAAAAATGAGCCAGGCATGTTGGTGGGCACCTGTAACCCCAGCTACTCAGGAGGCTGAGGCAGGAGAATCGCTTGAACCAGGTAGGTGCAGGTTGCAGTGAGCCAAGATCGCACCATTGCACTCCAGCCTGGGCAACAGGAGCGAGACTCAGTCTCAAAAAAAAAAAGTTCATAATATAAACAGAGGTTAAAGATTACTTAAAATTACTTATCTAAGGAGGTTACATATGCTTGGAACAAATGCAAGTGCTTATAAGAAGAGCTAAAGAGAGAAAAATAACAGGAATAAGAGGTAAATTAGGCTAATCCCTTTGAAAGCAATGTTGTGGCTATAACTGTTGCACCCTTGTGAAAGACACTAAATTCTAGAAAAGAGAACACTATTTAGGGAAGGAGATAATCCCTGGTTGTTCCTGGTTAAGAGGTCCTTGGACAAGTTGTTTTATAGTGAGGATTAAAATGAAAGCAAGAGCAGAAAGTATAGACAAAATTATGAGAAGAATATCGAAGACAGTATCCATGGGAATTTTTAACTGGACATTGGGAGATTTGATTCCAAATAGCAATTGACTTCTCCCAAAGGATCAGTTAGATTAGAAATCAGCAAAAATAAAAAATGGCTACTATAGTCTACAGTAACTATGTAACAAAGTTACCAAGGTAAGCTAGTAGTCATTTACTTACTTTTTGGCTGTCTTTTAAACAGGTATTTCAGGTCTTCCACAAGTTTACTGCTATAGTGGCTGATGGGAGCCCCACATTCCAATTACAGGGCCTCCAGTATTCCAGGATTGATCTTAGGAAGATGTTTGTAGCCATCTTATTTCCTAGCCTGATTTTAGGCTGTTGGCTAGTTTTTGGTGTGGGGAGCCTTGAGTTCTAAACCTCTCTATCAGTGTCAGTCTCCAACAGAGAAAGGCAGAGGGTCTGTCCTGGAACCATGGTTGTTATACAAGCTAGAGTATTCCTGTCTAGCAAAGAAGTTGTGCTTTTGTATATGATTAAGAAGGCATGAGTTAAGCCAGAGGTTTTCCTAGTTACAGCTAAGGGGAAATATATTGAGTAAAATGCTTTCCTGACATGTCCCTCAGAGACACGTTAAGGGAGGAAAGGAGGCCGGGATTAAAGAGGAGAACAGAAATGGTGATTCTGGAGCCAGAAGAAAGTCCACCCTCCTCTATTCAACCTCCAAAATCACCCAGAGCTCCTGGATGGTAATGGCAGTCTGAGCTGTTGGAGCTGGAGAGTCGAGCTTTACAATCCATCAGTCCTATTGGCCCATTTGTGAGACTGGCTGTGGACCCGCTGACCTATGCCTCCATGGACAATCTGCCTTCCAGTTGTCCCCACCACAGGCTGGACAGGGTCAAGTGGCTTCCTCTTGCTGCTGTGGCAATCCTTCTTAAAGTGCCCTAGTTTGCCACACTTGTAGCAATTGGCAGGTGCACCTTGGGGATTCTGTGTTTTATAGGTCTGAAGAGCAGCCACTAGAGCCTCTGCCTTTCTCTTATCTCTCTTCTCTTTTTCCTGGGCTTCATCCTGATCCCTATTGTAACAGACCAAGGCGGCCACCTTCAGAAGGTTTTCTAAAGTGCTATCTGGCCCTATGGCCTACTTTTGCAGCTTCCTCCTGATAGTAGGGGCTGCCTGAGTAATAAGCTTATCTTCAGAAATAGTTGTTCCTCAGCCGAATCAGGAGATAGGGAGGTGTGCTTCACCAAGGTCTCTCTTAGCCTTTCTAGAAAGGTAGACAGATTCTCATCTGGTCCTAATTTGAGTCCTTTGTAAGTTCTCCACTATGTACATTTTAAAGTATTGCTGAGACCAGCGCAGTCCGGGAGACCGTAACCCAGTGGCGCTAGAGGAATTAAAGACACACACACAGAAATATAGAGGTGTGAAGTGGGAAATCAGGGGTCTCACAGCCTTCAGAGCTGAGAGCCCCAAACAGAGATTTACCCACATATTTATTAACAGCAAGCCAGTCATTAGCATTGTTTCTATAGATATTAAATTAACTAAAAGTATCCCTTATGGGAAACAAAGGGATAGGCCAAATTAAAGGAATAGGTTGGGCTAGTTAACTGCAACAGGAGCATGTTCTTAAGGCACAGATCACTCATGCTATTGTTTGTGGCTTAAGAATGCCTTTAAGTGGTTTTCCGCCGGGACAGGCCAGGTGTTCCTTGCCCTCATTCCAGTAAACCCACAACCTTCCAGCGTGGGCATTATGTCCATCACGAACATGTCACAGTGCTGCAGAGATTTTGTTTATGGCCAGTTTTGGGGCCAGTTTATGGCCAGATTTTGGGGGGCTTGTTCTCAACAAGTGTTTTCTCCCCCATTCTCCCATGTTATCACTGGGGTCCCATATAGGGTCCTCCAATGGCTACTACTGTCTTTCCAATGGGATAAAGCTCTTCCCCCTCTCTGGAACTATATGAAATACAAAGCTAATCTCCAAATTTCTTAGCTGTTTGCAGGGCTGCCTGTTTCTCAGCAGTGGTCAGGGTTTGATTTAAAAGTAACATATTATCCTTCCAGGAGAATTTAGACACTATTCAAAATTAAATTCTGGAAGGCCTCTATACATGAGTGAAGCTGGGGCTTTCCCAGAGCAAACTTTAGGGTCTGAGGGTTAAAGGAGACCCAGTGATCCAGGCTGCACTCAAGGAGAGTGTAGGCTGAAGATTGGCTGTTACCCATCTGGAAAAAGAGAGGAGAAAAGTTGTCCCTTAGTCTCCTTCCCACTTTTATGGTCACCTAGGATATACATATATATATACACACAAACACACACACACACACACACACATATATGTGTGTGTATATATATGTGTGTATATATATACACATACATATATATACACACACATATATACACACACATATATATACACACACATATGTGTGTGTATATGCGTGTATATATGTGTGTATATATATGTATGTGTGTGTATATATATATGTATATATATAGAGAGAGAGAGAAAAAAAAGGCATTCCCTGTCTCCTCTTTCCCTCACTGTGTCCTCTGGGTCCCAGCAACCTTCATAGATGCCACACACGGATGCAAGTGTGACTTCCAGCCATGGACTAGGAGGATTGGCAGGTAGAAATAGTTGCATTTACCCATGCTGTGCCCCAGCCCTGTGTGCTGACTACCTTTGGGGTTCCCCAGATCTATTTCTTCTTTTGAGCTTCCAACACAAAGCTTGGAAAATACATTGAAGTATTTGAATTTGGGGAAGAAACTCTAATGGAGTTCTTACACTCAAATCTCTCAGGGAATCCCTTGGCTGATAGGTAATGGACAGAGTCAAATCATAGTGTTTATTCAAGGAAATGGGAATGATTGACTTCTAAACATAGCCCCTTCCTCCTGCCCAGGAGTCCTTATACTTGGAAGCAGAATAGATGTCTTACGAAATGTAGGAGTTGGCTTGGCTCATTCTCCACAATTTCAACAGGGGAATTAGGGCTCCCCTGGACATAGGGCTGATAGGGCTTCCCACAGAAACAAATCCTTGCCTTGTCAGGTGCCTTGACAAGGTTTGGAAAGTTAGCCTGTAACTTTGTGTCCAAATCCTTTTCAGATGTAGGTTTGAAAGAGAGGTCTGAGGCTTTGTGGACTGCCCCCACAATAAGCCTTTTAGGAGAATAAAATTAACTTGCCTCATAGAAGGGATATCTAGATTCACTGGGCAATGCTAAGTTCTCACATGGAAAAAAGAAACAGCTTAAATGGAGAGGAGGATAGTTACTCTGGGAGAAATAACTCCCCATGCAATGCCGTTGGGTGCTATCATTAGGGGACAAAGAGGCCTTCAGGTCTAGATCTTGAAATTGCTCTCTCTCTCTAGAAAATTACAAAGACAGCAATTCTTTGAGTTGCATTCCTGATTACTAAGGCACTTGCTGACTTTATCCAACAAATTTATATTGCCGGGTTGCAAAAACACCTGCAACATTGCATACAAAGAAGAGATAGGAGCCATAAAAGCCACAAAAGAGAGAAAGAAAATGCAATAGGGAAAGACTGGAAATCCTGGTGCTGACACCCTAATGGGCTGTTGAGGACTGGAGTTAGTCCAGGGCCTTTTGGGTAACACTGAGGTGTAGCCTCAGCCAGATACCTTCAGTTTCCCTAGGACCTCCTTCCAATCCCACATGATAGCTAGACCTCTGTGAAGAGAAACTACACTGAAACAGAGCGAATGTTCCCAACACCCAAGCCAATGAAGTTCTCTGCAGCAAGCCTGTCTTCTGAGTCTTAAGACTGGCAGCCACACTATTCACTCTTAAGTGGTCAACAGAGACCTGGTGTTTTATTTCATCTTGAGAAAAAAAAGTTAGGACAAAGAGCCTTGGAAATGAAATTAAAGAGTTATAGGTTCACTCCTACTTATCCTTCTGATGATCCTAGGTGAGCCCCCAGCATGTTGCAGTCTAAATAGTCCATAGTTTAGCTAGGTCTGAGTTCTTGTCCGATAACCAAGAAGAATAAGGCACATGGACACCAGAGAGTGAGTAGAATGGGATTTTTTTAGCAAAAGGAAAGCTGTCAGCAAAGAGAGGGTCCCTGAAAGCAGGTTGCCAGAAATAGGGCTGAGTTCTGGGTCTTTTATGTGGCAAGAGCAAAGAAGTCTTCTGTGCGTTCTGTCCAAATAGGAGGGATAAAATTCCCCCTTAGGAGTGTTGTGTCTGCCCAGGCCTGGGGTTGGCAGTAGTGACTCCATCTTAGTTATTACCCATGAACATGTAAGTGAAACCGATGGGGGGGTGTGACTAAAACCACAATGCTAATGTCGAGCTAATGACATTATAAGGAGTTGGGTCAAGTTAAGGACATTTAGATTGATTTATTATACCTGCACCTAAGTTGGTGCAGAAGGGACTAAGTCAGTCCCTTCTGAGTAGACATCCTGGCATAAAAGGAAGTTCTTAACCACATTTCATTCCACTAGCTACAGGGGTGGTGCAGGTGTGTTCCTGTGGGTATTTTTCTACTCCTGAGACCCTCCTTCTTTATCTGCCTAATCAGCCTATAATCGCCTCCTCTCTCATAAATCCTCTAACTTTTTTCTCTAAATTGCATTTGGCTATGTCAGGTTTCTTAAAATCAACCTAAAAATTTCTATATAAAAAAACTAGCTGTGGTTTTGGTTGGACTTGCTTTGAATCCAGAGATAAAGTTTCAAAAACTAAACATCACTTAAAATATTGAATTTTCTGATCCATTGACATATACATCTTTCAGTTTATTTCAGGTTTTAATTTATTTCAGCAATGATTTGTAGTTTTCAGTAAAGATAACTTGCAGGTCTTTCACATTTAACTAAAATATTTCATATATTTAATGATATTTTGAAAGTGGCACTGTTTTTTAAAATTTGATTTCCAAGCATTAGTTGCTACCATATGAAAATACAATTAGTTTTTATCTCTCCAACCATGCCAAACACACTTAACTGTTTTAAGAGTATTACTATAGAACCCTTAAGGTTTTGTCATAAATAAGCATACCTTCCCTGGATTAAGAGAGTGTTATCTCCTCCTTTCAATATAAATAATTTTTTATTTTTTTCTCTTTGGGGGGACGGAGTCGCACTCTGTCACCCAGGCTGGAGTGCAGTGGCCCGATCTCGGCTCACTGCAAGCTCTGCCTCCCAGGTTCACGCCATTCTCCTGCCTCAGCCTCCTGAGTAGCTGGGACTGCAGAAGCCTGCCACCATCGCTGGTTAATTTTTTGTATTTTTAATAGAAATGGGGTTTCACCGTGTTAGCTAGGATGGTCTCAATCTCCTGACCTCATGATCCACCTGCCTCGGCCTCCCAAAGTGCTGGGATTACAGGCGTGAGCCACCGTGCCTGGCCAATATGAATACTTTTTATTTTTATTATTTTTCTTGCCCTCGCTAGAACTTCCAGGAAAATATTGGCTAGAATTGGTCAGAGTGGATATCCTTGCTTTGTTTCTGAATTTAGGAGAAAAGCACTCACACTCTCATAATTAAATATATTATTAGCTGTAGGTTTTTCAAAAAATTTTTTGATTAGTTAGAGTAAGTCCCCCTCCATTCCTAACTTCCTGAGAATTCTTATTAGAAATGAATACTGAGTTTTTGTCAAATGACTGTTTTGCTTCTATTGGGATGATCTTTTTAAAAAGATATATACTAATGTGGAGCATACATTGATTTCATTTGAAATGATAAACATACATTGCATTCTTGGGGAAAACTCTATTTAGTCAAGGCAGATAATCTTTTATTAAATATACAATTACATTTTTTTGTTAAGAATTTCTGCATCTTTCTTTATGAGCCTTATTGATCTGTTTAGTTTTTATCTGAAATACTATCGTTTTCATCCTAAAAGTTGTATGTGTGTGTTTTTGAATTGTTCAGGTCCATGTTAAGAAAGCCAGTGAAAAATAATGTCCCACCCAAAACTTATTGAAAATTTTTCTAGACTAGGTGTAAGCAAATTAAAGGGCCAAATTCAGCTTGCCATCTGGCAAATTTCTCCATGCCCATTCACTTATGCAATGTGAGGTCACTGTTTTTGCACTCAAAGTACAGAGTTGAATAGTTGCAACAAAAACTTTTGACCCAGAAATCAAAAACTGTTTACTTTCTGCCCTTTTGGAACAAATGTTTGATAACCTGTGGTCTAGATTCCAGCTGTCTAATACATGACCACCATTCATGCATAGTTTTAAAATGTTTAAAAAAATAATTAAAATCAAATGAAATTAAACATTTAGTTCTCCAGTCACATTGCATTTCAGGTGCATTATAGCAGCATGTGACTGTTGGGCTGATACCTAATATTTCCATCATCACAGAAAGTTGTCTTGGATGGTGCTTTGTTTAACCTTTCTGTTCCTTGACTGCTCAGTGAGTTTCACTAGCTACTTGCCAACACTTTTTGTAGCCATCAAAGGGAAGCCAGAGAACATTCAAGCCCACATAACATCCCTGTCTTGTTAGGAAGTGAAGAAAGTGTTTGTCTCATCACTGATCTCCTTTGTAAGTTCCACCCAGTAAATCCACACCTAAACACACCTAAAAAAAAGATTATTGATTCAGTGAAATACAAAGAATGGGGGATAAAGGAGTGTTTTCAGCCACTGCTAAAAGGTTCCAATGTTTGTGCTGTATTTAGAATAATATATAAAAAATTTTATTGTAACTTTGCAGATTTAGAGTAATTAGTATTTTCCATATGTTTGATGAAGGAAGAATTTAAAACTCTGACACTTTTCCTTGCTCATGCATTTAGTTAATAAGCTTAGAATTGTCGTAAAAGGTATATCTCACTAGTTTGCCATTCAACTGGTTTATTTTTTTCTGACAGAGAGACATTAAGAAGTTTCCATGTAAGTAGGCTTGAAAGTTATTGAAAAAACATTGACCATCCTACACATACATGTGTTTTCTAAAAAAACTTGTTATATTTTGTAAATAGAATTTTTAAAATAAAACATTGGCAAAATACTTTAACTGTTCTAGTTAATTTTTCTTCAGATAGGGGTTAATATTTTTAATAGATAAAATTTAAACAATATACACTGGATACAAGGGATCCATACCAGAAGAAGCATACTTTCAGACAATGAAATTATACATTTTTTCTATTTATTAATCACTTTTATCAGTAACCTTATAGGAGGACTTCCCTAATAAAGGAGGAAATATATCTTTTTCCTCCAAAGCATGTAGGCAAACAGAAAATATTTAATAAAATTGTATGTGTTATATTTGTTTTGCTATTTAATCACTGTATTGTACAATATAATTACATTGACTTATGAAAACTTAAACAAAAGTTGCAAAATAAGAGGAAACTGTGTACTTTTTTCTTTCTTCAAAAAAATGCAAAAATTGAATTGTAAAGTTTATCTGCTATTATTATCTCCTGAATTTATTTTAACCCCTCGATTTAGTGTCATTAATTTTACTTTAACCTGGCAATTACCTCTTAAATTTTTTTTTTACAAAATGAGAAAAATAGCCTACTAGATTTCTTTTTTCCTTATAAAAATCCAAATTTTCACCTGGGATCATTTTCTTGTACCTAAAAAACTTCTTTATAATTTCTTGTGGTGCATGCTTGCTAGGGACAAAGCTCTAAGCTTGTTTTTCTGAAAATGGCTTTATTTCAGCTTCCACTTTGAAAGTCTTTTTAGCTGGTATAGGTTGATTCTTAAAATGTTTTTAGTACTTTAAAGATGCCACTTTATTGTATTTTATTCTTCATCATACTAGATGAAAAACCTATAGTCATTCTGTTACAGTAGGTGGCTAGTCAGGCATAAGTAGGGCATTAGAGGGCCCTGGCCACCCAAACCTGCCAGGAATGTCAGGCTTCCATAAGGTGGTGGTCAGACATTGTCACACTGCCTCTCTAAAATAATAATTGGTTGCAACCAGAGCCAAGGAAAGGCAGTTTCCCAATAAATAGAAACACCTGAAACTAGTGGTCAGTAGCTTCCTGATAAAAATCTCAGGCGCTGGGTGAATGAACTCAAGCATGTCCCTTAAAAGGCAAAATGGCCAAATTTAACTGGTATATGATCTTCCTCCAGGAATGCTAGATTGGTAAGGGAAGAACACCTCAAGTGATCATGCGTACAACTCTGGTAAACACTCTGTGCATGCTCCCCTCCCAACTGCTATCAGGCCATTGTGCATGTGGACAGCCCACCCCAAGGGAGGAATCAGAGAAGACAGAACACAAGACCCCAAAAATATGCCAACATATAAAACCCCAAGTGAAAAGATCAAATCGTGCTCCTGTCTTTTAAGTCACTGGCTTCACCTTCTTCCAAGTGTACTTCCCTTCCTGTTGTTTCTGCTCTGGAGTTTTTAATAAACTTTTACTCCTCCTCTAAAACTTGCCTTAGTCTCTCCCTCTGCCTTATGCCCCTCAGTCGAATTCTTTCTTCTGAGGAGGCAAGAATTGATGACTGTTGTTGCTGCAAGCCCTTATGGATTCACTGCCAGTAACTTGCATACTTGCCATTAGTAACAATTGTCTTATTGTTCCGTATATGTAATTATTTTCCCCTCTGGCTGCTTTTAAATTTTGCTCTTTACCACATTTTTTTAGCCATTTGATTATAAGGTTCATAGTTGTAGCTTTATTTTTGTTTTACCTGTTTTCTGTTTGTTGAACTAGTGGAATCTCTGGATTTGTAAGATTATTTCTTTTAATTTGTGAAACTGTTGCATAGTTTCTTCAACTGCCCCCCCAACTATCATTTTCTTAGACTCCAAGATGTTTTACTTCTAGATGCTGTCCTACAGATCCCTGAGGCTGTGTCTGTTTTTGTACAGCCTTTTTCCTCTTGGTGCCTGAGATTGAACAGTTTCTATTCCTGTGTTTTCAAGTTTACAAATGTAAAATTCTGTTGTGTCTAATATACTTTTAATCTCATCCAGTGAAATTTTTATTTCATATGTTTTATTTTCATCTCTAGAAATTAGTTTACTATGACTGCTATCACAAATTACCACAAACCAGGCGGCTTAAAACCACAGAAATGGCCAGAAGCTGTGGCTCACGCCTGTATTCCCAGCACTATAGGAGGCTGAGGAGGGCAGATAACCTAAGCTCTGGAGTTCGAGACCAGGCTGGGCAACATGATAAAACCCCATTTCTACAAAAAATACAAAAATTAGCCGGGTGTGGTGGCAGGCGCCCGTAGTCCCAGCTACTTGGGAGGCTGAGGCAAAACAATCGCTTCAACCCAGGAAGGCGGAGGTTGCAGTGAGCCAAGATCATGCCACTGCACTCCAGCCTGGGTAACAAAGTAAGACTCTGCCTGAAACAAACAAACAAACAAACAAAAAGCAACAACAAGAAAAAAACCCACAGAAATGTATTCTCCCAAGTTATAAAAGCCAGAAATCTGAAATCAATGTCTCAGCAGCATTACATTTCCTCCAGAGTATCTAGGTTCTTTTCTTTGTTTCTTCCAACTTTTGGGTAGCTGCTTGGCACTGCCTGGCATTACTTGGCTTGTGGCTTCATCACTCTGATATCTGCCTCCATCTTCACATCATTTGCTTTCCTGTGTATGTGTGTCAGCTCCATAGGAACCTCTCTTAGAGGGGTACACATGACAGAATTAAGGGTCAACTCAAATAATCTAGAATAAGCTCCTTCACTCAAGATTTTTAATTTAATTACATCTTTGCCATATAAAGTAATTTATACTCTTTTGCCAAATAACAGGCTATTCAGTTATTCTAGAAAAAGAAAATGAATGTAACTTTGCAGGAAGTGACCTTTTTTAGTCTGCTATAGACTTCTGACCTCCCAAGAGTCATGTCTCATCCACATACAAAAGAATCACTTGTCCATTCTAACATTCCCCAACGTCTCCGTCCAATACAACATCTATTTGTAACCAAAACTTCATCTAAATGTCATCAGTTGTAAATCTCATCATTTAAATCAGGTATGTGTGAGACTCTTAGTATGCCCTTGAAGCAAAATTCTTCTATAGCTATGCACCTGTGAAATTAGAAAACAAGCCGTTTCCAACATACAACGGTGGAACAGGCATGGAATAATGGTCATAAATATTCTCATTCTAAAAGGGAGAAAATTGAAATAATATATGGATTTCTGCTCCCAAGCAAGTTCAAAATCTAGCAGAGAAATTTTCACTCGTTTTTCAAGGCCTGCAAATAATTATTTGTGACTCACAGTGCTGTCCTCTAGGCCCAACACTCAGCCCTTAAAATCATTTTTCCTTTTTTCAATTTTTCCTCTTCAGATGCAAAAACATGAGGAAAAATAGAAAAAAGAAAAATAATTCTACAATGTGCATCTGAGTTGTTTTATCAGCTGGTTTTCTGCCTATAGATTTTTTCGTTTTTCTACTTTTCCTTTTCAGATGCACAAACATGTGCATCTAAAGGGTTTTATCAGCCGGCTTCCTGCCTATAGAACTTTGGGACTCTGACAGATTTCTCTAATGTCATTCTGGCTCTATTGCTTTCAATTCACTGTTTTTGTTTGTATACCATGTTCAAAAACTTTGTACGTCACCTGACAGGGATTCAGACCCTTAGGCAGGACGGTCCTCCACAGATATTTCCTGGATAATCCTATATTCTTGCTTTCTGCTGAGATAATTGAGTTGATCCATGAGTCACATGCCTAATGTTTTCAGAAAAATTTGCCCAGCCACACACTTGGGCTTCTCTCCAGAGCACATCTTCCTTAAAGTGAATCTCCTAATTTTAGCATCTTTTGCAATCTGGATAGGCTGAGGATTTCCCGAATCATCAAATGCTGGTTCATTTTTGCTTAACAGTTCATTTCTCAGTTTATCTCATTTTGCTCACATTTTACAGCAGCAAGAAGAAACCAGGCTGCCCCTCCAACACGTTGCTTGGAGATCTCCTTGTTTAAATATCCAGATTCATTACTTACAAATTCTGCTTTGCACCCAACAGTGGAACACAATTCAGCCAAGTTTTCTGCCACCGTATGACAAGGATAGCCTTTCCTCCCTCTTCCAATAATGTGTTTCTCATTTTCTTATGAGCCTTTACCAGAATTATCTTTCATACCCATATTTCTACCAGCAGTTACTTTAAGGCAATCTAGGATTTTTCTATGATGTTTCTTAAAATCCTACCCAGTGCAAACATCTCCTAAGGTTGTCATAACAAATTACCACAAACTGTGGTTTAAAACCAAAGAAATGTAATCTCTCGCAACTCTGGAGGCCAAAAGTCTGAGACAAAAGTGTAGGCAGGGTCACAGTCCATGTGAAGGCCATAGAAGAAAATCCATTTCTGGCCTTCTCCAATTACTAATGACCGTCTAGCATTCCTTTACTTCTGACTACAGCTTTCTCTGCTCAGTCTTATTCACACTCCCTTCTACTCCCAGCATCTTAACTCACTCTACCTCACTCTGATGAGGATACTTTAGGGTCCACCAACATAATCCAGGATAAACTCCTCCTCTCACAATCATTAACTTAATGAGATTTTCTTGCCATATTAGGTAATGTTCACAGATTCAGGATATCAGATTATGGGCATATCTTTGTGGTCAATATTCAGCCTACTACTTTCCACTTAGATTGTTTACATACTTCATTTATCTCTTCATTATATACATGGTATTCTAAAAACTCTTTAGCAAATTTATCTTAAATCTATATTTAGAGTCCATCTGTTAATTTTATTACATCTATTATTTCTATTTTTTTAATTGGCTAACTTTGCTCCAGGTTATTGTTCACCCACTCGTGCTTATTTTAATATGCAGGTTTTTTTTTAATTGCATGCTGAATGTTGCAAATTTACCTGGTTGTGTGGTCAATTTCACTATTTTCTTTTAAAGAGGAGTAGTGGACTTTGTTCTGGCAGGCAGCATAAATTGCATTTGGATTAGCTTGATCCTTTCAAGATTTGTTTTTAAGCTTTTATAGAATGGACTTAGAGATACTTTCCCTCTACGGTCAATTCTACCCTTCTTTTCAGGTTTAAGAATTGGGGGTTCTTAATGAATACTCTTGATTCTCTTCTCTGATTGGTTAGAATTTGACCATCTTCTAATGTTAACTCCTTAGGTAGAGGTCTACAGTGTTCCACCTATAGGTGCTTAGTCATTCTTTTTACAGATATGAAGTTCTGCCCTATGACTCATTTAATATTTAGCCAAACACTCAAGAAAACCCCAGGCAAATTTTTCAAAATCTTTTCTGAAAATATGTCATTTCAAGAATTTTTGTTTCTTAAATTCTAGCTATATCAAGAAACTGGCGCTTCAATCTCTGTCTCCACAACTGGACAAAACTGCCTGTGCTGTGTGTGTATATCACAATGCTGAAATTGCCTCTAGGCAGAAAGTTGAAGTCATCTCAAGGGTTTTCTTGATTGTTACCCTTCTTTCATTTATTACATATTTGTACTGCCTAGTACCAAATGTCTAAAAATATTTGTTATATATTTTGTCTATTTTACAAGTTTCTTGTGGAAAAGAAAATGGTGAGTTTATTCTAGCCAGAAGCAGAAGCTTAGATTTCAAGCTAAATAATACTTCTTTTCATATATGACTAATCAAGAGATTATTTTTCAAAATAATATATTAGCTCCCAATAAGGTTGAACTGAAAACTATAATAATTATTTTCATTATAGAATTCTGATTGTTAAAAAAATATAATGGTAGATGAAAATTGAGAAACTTGATGACTCAACAACAACAACAACAAAAACACACTTCTTGAAAGGCAAGTGGAGCTAGAATTCACTGGTTTCTTTTTCTAGATAATTTGACCATGGAAGAAGTTAATACTATCAGCAGTAAGCATAAATCTCAAAAGTGGCCCACCCTATTCTCCTTTTAAATCATTAAGGGAGTGAAATACTGCTTTCAAACAATATAATAGACCTCTTAATTTATTCTACCTGCTTCTTTGGAGCTCACAGAGTAAACTCCCGATGAGTGTTGGATGGAAAGCATATGGCAATGGCAATATGCAATCACAGAAATCTTTAAGTTTTTAGTTGTGTTTCTTGTCATGTTTAGACTGGATAGTATTTCTTTGGCCAACCATTGGGCAAAGTAGAAATGAGAACTGATATATTTGTTTATTCTTGAAATAAAATTCACTCAATCACAGTAAGTAACACAGAAGTCAGAATATATTTACCTCCCTAAGACAGTTAAGCAGTATCTTATTGTGGAAATGTATACTTTTTTAATCTTCAGAAATGTTTCAAAAATGCAATGTAATGAAGATTATTAAAATTATATGAATTATTGAAATTATTAAAATGTTTCAATTACATTTGCAACTATCTTAACATAGAGTGCATATTCAACCAGAATTTTATGATAAAGGTAAATGATAACAGCATAGGGCATTGGGCAGGCCTTAGGGAGGAGCTTCTCTAAGACAACTGCATGTTGAGGCATACCTAAGAGTAAGAGACAGGTGACAGTGTTAAACTTTACTTGAGCCCTATGCTCCTGGAAAAGAGAAACTGTTAAGATTCACAATAGCCAATACATAGAAACAACTTACGTGTCCATTGATGGAATAATGGATAGAGAAAATGGAATGTTATTCAGCTTTAGAAAGGGAAATTCTGCCATTTGCTACAACCTGAGTGGACTCAGTAGACATTATGTAAGTGAAATAAGCCAGACACGAAAAGAATAATATTACATGATCTCACTTATATGTGGAGTCTATCTATCTATCTATCTATCTATCTATCTATCTATCTATCTATCTATTTGTGTGTGTGTGTATATGAAATAAAACAGTGGTCTCCAAGAATGGGTGGAGATGGGGGAGGAAATGGGGAGATGTAGGTTAAAGGATGCAAAGTAGCAGATACATAAGATGAACAAGTCTAGAGATCTAATGTACAATGTGAAGACCATGGTCAGTAAAAACGTAATTTATGAGAGATTTTTGTTAAATAAGTAGACTTTAGCTGCTCTTGTCATAAAAAGATAACTATTGGAAATGACAGATATGTTAATTTGTTTCACTATAGTAACCAGTTTACTGTCTATATGTATTCTGTGGCATCATGTTGTAAACCTCAATTATACACAATAAAATCTATTTGAAAAAAGAATTCTCCCCACTCTTTTGTATTCTTGGCACTGGCTTCATGCAAAACAAATAATTTTCTCTATATGACTTCCAGAAGAATCAGAGATGTCCCCTCCCTTGTTTACAGAAATAGACTTTTTAAATTCCTATTTTTTCATCATAAATGATTAGCTGAACTGTTTGCACCTACTACCCTGTCTGAACAAAACACCCACTAATGTCACTTGACATAACTTTAGGTAAATTTATTTCCTTCCCAAAGGCTCCTAAATTTTGAGTCACCAACAGCTTGAGTTGAGGATTCTCTTCCCAAGAATTTCCTGAAGAAAAGGTATTGCCTCGTCAACTAGGCATGCCAGCAGCTCATCATATTTCCATGTATCAAGTTCTCTCCAGCATGTTTACCCCTGTCTATGAAAGAACAATCCTCTCTGCCTGACATTTGAGATCCCTGCAGATCTTATAGACAAGCACTCTCTCTGTTGTAGCAGTAACCCCTCCCCTATTGCAATGACCCCTTTTCCA
The DNA here is from genome assembly GCF_000001405.40 of Homo sapiens. Classification (NCBI taxonomy): domain Eukaryota; kingdom Metazoa; phylum Chordata; class Mammalia; order Primates; family Hominidae; genus Homo; species Homo sapiens. The sequence continues at coordinate 193,459,252 of NC_000002.12, read as the reverse complement.
TTACAACAATATTTTCAATTAACGCTTGTCTTTACCTAGGTCAACACTTATTTTTATTTGACAAGGGTGACAATAAGACAAACAAATAAATGCATCTCTCTTTTTTTGTTGTTCCTTTTACTGTTTGAGGAACAAAGTTTTGTGTCACTCTTGCCTGGTGGCTTTTTTATGTCTATACTAAAACTATTATCATTGCAATTTTGAACAACAAAATTGCATTCTCTATTCTTTAAATATTATATGAAAAACAAAATTGCTTTCTCAATTAAATATTATACAGTTATGAAATCATAGTTACAGAAACAAAACATTCTCCTTTCCTTGAAAGACCTTAATATTCAAGATTAAGTTATTAGATAATAACTTTCACCAGTGAAGATGAATGTAGTTCTCTACAGGCTTGCGGAGAAAATGGGATTAGCTTCATGAAGGAAGTAAGAGTTTAAGATTCTCTGGAATTTTCACTGGGGAGATTGGAGCAGGTCGATGTCCAAGTAAGGGAATCACTGTAAGTGAGTTTTAGAAATGAGTATGGATTTATTATACAATAGGAACAAATTGATTATAATTGATTGACCATACTAACGATAATGTAAATACATATGTATATATACACACATATACATACATACATATATAATGGTAAAAACAAATACTGCAATTATGTATGCATAGATTTGATATTTATGGAGGAGATTTAAAAGTTTGAGAAATAGGACCATGTTCAATGTTTGTCAGCAAGACAATAACCTGATTAAAAGGGAACTTTAGTGATAGAGCAGTAAAGAAAAATTCTAAAATTGTGATTTCTAGAATGAGATTATTTTAAATACTAGGCAATATTAAAAAAATCATTCATTTCTATATGGGTTTATCTGAGAGTTCTAAATTCTTATTCAACAACCCTTACTTTATCCCTACAGTTACAATTTAGTGTCTGAAGGTGTTGTGACATTAGTTTATACAGGTGGTTTATGTTTGTTTTTGTATTTATACAAGTAAGAAATCCAATAGATAATCTAGATTGTCCAAATAATAAAGTAAATTTCAGGGCTAGAACTCAGAGTTTTGAAGTAAATCATTTTTGAGATTTTATTTTTTCTCCTCAGAGTATTGCTACTAATTATGGGCTATTGTAACAAATAAATCCAAACACATAAAATGGCTCAAAAACTATAGAAATTTCTTTTTTGCTCACATGGCATTCTAAGACTGTCTTTCAGCAGTCCTTTTATGAGGTGATTCTGAGTCCCAGGCTTCCTTATTTTGTAGCTCCCTGGGTCCTAGGTTCCCATTATTCCTTGCATTCTGACAGCTTGTTTCACATTCACAGAAATTTTAAGTCTTTTTTTTCCATGTATAATCCTCTCAAACGAGAAGGTTGCTTCATTTTTGTTCTATGTTCAACTCAAACACTCTTTCACATTTTAGTAGCAGCTAATTTAAAAAATACATTTGGATAAGAGAACCTTTATTCAGAGATTACAAAAATGAATTCTTTTGTTTGTTTGTATTAAACTCAGAAGTTTCAATGGCCCTTATTGCCCTAAACCCTGATTAATCTTATTTTCTACTTCTTTTAAAATTAAGAAGTAGCTTGATTCTCTTCTACGCAATGCACCCAGAAACTAACATTCTATATGCGTCTTCATTTCCCCTTGAAAACAAATCAGTATTTGTCTGAATTCACCTCTTTCTTATGAAGGAATAACCAGCATATACTAATATTATCCTTCTAGCCGTCTTCCTTGAGGTTCTAGATTCAAGAGGCAATTCAAGTTATTGTAGTCAACAGTTTGTTCCCTGTGTTTTGATACACTACAAAATAAGTTTTTCTTATTTCCAATCTTCAATATATAATTCTTCATTGCCTTCCATATGACCACTAAGTTAATGTCCCATAGTTTAGCTTTCATTACAGCAGCAGCACAGTTCTTGTACTAATATCTGCATTAATTAGAAATACTAGTTTTATAATAAACTATGATATTACTTTTGTATATTATCCCACCCTTGTTTATATAATAAAGGATAAACATGACTAAAATACACATTTGTGGGGTCCAAATAGTCACATAATTAAAACTCTCTCATTTGCCTTAGCTGTTTGTATTTGAACAGCTTTATTAGAGTAGTTTGATTCAATTTAACAGATTTTGTTAGACAATAGTCATTTTAGTGTCAAAGATGAGTAAGATGAAATCTCCATCAAGTAGCTTTCAATTTCTCAAAGATGGACACAAAATAGAAATCATTAATATAATAGGTGATAATTCAAATATATATGTGTGTTGTATGTGTGTTATATTGTGTCCAGAATTTATTCTTCCGGTGGGTTCTTGGTCTCACTGACTTCAAGAATGAAGCTGCAGACGTTTGCAGTGAGTGTTACAGCTCTTAAAGGTGGCACGTCAGGAGTTGTTTCTTCCTCCTGGTGGGTTTGTGGTCTTGCTGACTTCAGGAGTGAAGCTGCAGACCTTCACAGTGAGTGTTATAGCTCATAAAGGTAGTGTGGACCCAAAGAGTGAGCAGCAGCAAGATTTATTGTGAAGAGACAAAGAACAAATCTTCCACAGTGTGGAAAGGGACCTGAGCGGGTTGCCGCTGCTGGCTCAGGTGGCCAGCTTTTATTCCGTTATTTGGCCCTGCCCACATCCTATTGATTGGTCCATTTTACAGAGTGCTGATTGGTGCGTTTATAAACCTTTAGCTAGACACAGAGCGCTGATTGGTACATATTTACAGAATGCTGATTGGTGTGTTTACAAACCTTTAGCTAGACACAGAGCGCTGATTAGTGTGTTTACAATTCTTTAGCTAGACAGAAAAGTTCTCCAAGTTGCCACCCGACCCAGAAGCCCAACTGGCTTCACCTCTCAATCCCCACTCTTAACAGGACACCCCAACTGCTGTCAGGAATTGGGCAATGACCGCTCTAGCTACTTCCTGCTGGATAGGGGTGAAGAAGAGGCCCTGCAGTTGTAGCGCCCTCCAGAGCAGAACTTTTTAGGCCAGTGAAAGGACCAGTAGGTCGGTCCAGGGGTCCTCGGTAGAAGTTGTTAGTTGAGCTCATTTGGAGTTCCATTTGTAAGACCATCTGTAGCTTGATGGCCTCAATCCTAGAGGAAACAAACTTGACAAGGAGGTTAAAAATACAGGACACGAAGGCAAGTAATAGCAAGATGGCTGCCGTGGTACCTAGAAAAGAGAGAAGTCATGTTGCCCAACTCCAGAGGTTGGTATAAGAGTTTGAAAGGCGTTGTCTGATTTCAGAAGCCTTTTCCTGTAAACGCCAGGCAGCATCTCATACTATAACTGACTGGTTAGTGTGAAAACACTCTTCCCCTAAGAAGGTGCAGAGTCCTCCTTTCTCAGCAGTAAGGAAGTCTAGGCCTCGGCAGTTTTGGAGAGTCACTGCTGCCAAAGAATCTATCTGGGATTGTAGTTACTATCCTTACTGGATAGATTTTGTTATTTCTTGCAAACTGTCTGAGAAATCCTTTAAGACTGTGTGGTAGTAGGATAATGAAGTAGATAAACCTGCTATTCTGGTTCCTGTAGCAGTGGCCATTTCTAACCCTATAAGTAGTAGGGGTATTAGTTGTATGGCCCTGTGCTGATGGACTTGAGCTTTGAGGGGCACAGATAGGGTCTGATTTCCATAAGATTAGAAATTAGGATAATGCATGTTACACTGTTAACTTTTAGCAAATTTTACTTTTGTTGAAAACCTTGTAAGTTTAGGATTTTAATTTTTCTTTGCTATTAATAAAAGCTCGGTCAGTCCATATTAACTTAGAATTGGTATAGATAGCTCCTTCCTGATTCTGTAAGTACTTTAAGGTTTGGCTGAGTGCAAAAAACTCGCACATTTGAGCAGACCAATTATTAGGCAATTTCCCTAACTCTGCTTCTAGAAGAGTTCCCTTATCACTTACTGAACACCCATTGTGCCTTATTCCCTTAATCACCCTGGAGGAATCATCTATTGTCCTGTGCTGAAGGGAGTTCCTCCTAGGTCTGGTCGGACCTTTGTATCGTAATTAATTAAGATTTATATCCCCAGTTAGTAAACCTGCTGTGTTAAGGATTTTTGATAGGAAGGCTAGGGGTTGTCAGTGGCCTCAGTGCTTTTGGGCTATGCCCTTGTTTACACTGACAACAAGGTGGTATTGGAGTGTTATAGGGTTACAGAGAAGACCTTCAATTATCAATTATAGGTTTTAAATTTACCCTGGCTTTTAAAGGAATAGGGTACACTGTTTTTTCTTTACTACTTCTCTCTTTCTTTCTCTTTGACTTCTTTGTCTCTCCCTTTCCCTCTTTCTGACTCCCTCTTTGTCTGTCTCTTCCTCTCTCTCTTTGACTTTCTGTGTCTTTCTCTCTCTCTGACTCCCTCTTTGTCTCTGTCTCTTCTCTCTCTTTCTCTTTCTGTCTCTTTCCATCTCCTTTCTGCTGGTCTTTTCCTGCCTCTGCCAGCTGCTTATGCTGCTGTTCTCCCCTCTCCTTCCCCTTTTGATGGCTTCGGCAGTGTAAGACTGCCACCTTCTTGGGTTTTTGCACTGCGTGCAATAACTCCATGGTTTCCTTGTGATATTTAATGGGAGTTCCCCCAGAGGTTAGGAACTCCCTTTCTTTCCATATTGCAGCATGGGCGTGTAGGATTAGATAAGCATACTTGCTATGTGTATACAGATTTATTCTTCTTCCCTTTCCCAGTTCTAAGGCTCAGGTAAGTGCCACTAGTTCTGCTAACTGGGCGCTAGTCCCTGGGGGAAGAGGCTTACTTTCAAATGTGGTTACATAACTAACTATGGTATAACCTGCCCTTCGTATCCCATTCTCCACAAATGAACTTCCATCAGTATATAGGTTAAGGTCAGGATTAGCTAAGGGGACTTCTAAGAGATCATCTTGGGTGGCATAAGTCTGGACTATAATTTGTTGGCAGTCATGCACAAAATTGAGACTTTTTCAAAAAATACTTACTCTTTCTACATGTAAATCACTGTAATATCATATATTCCATTCTATTAATTTTCTGATCAAGGGCCATTATAGGCCACATGTCATATTTTGAAACTCTGGTATATTTTATGCAGGAAACCACAGATAGTCAGGTATTTCTCATAAACTTTCTAATGTTACCATAATGCTGTATGATAATTTTGCATAAATATATACACACTTAAGTTTATTCAAATTTTTTACACATCGTTCTTATGTAACTATTGACTAAACATATATCATCAATTAAACACAAAAATGTTTCAAATGAAATGGGATTTGGTAACATAGATTTAATATAATAGTGGATGTTGACTTATAGAAACTAAGTCATAGACATTGGATTAAAAATAGAAATGTATATGTCTGTCTTATTGCTATCAACTTAATTATTACTAGACATATTATTATTATCACTGATGAAATTATTAACAACTAAACCATTGTTTTAATGGCCAATTCCAAAGATCATATGTTAAATAAATAATTGTGAGAAAATTTTTTGGAGATTTTGTCACTGAATTAATAAACACAAATTGATATTTACAAAAATATCTCTATGACATATTTCATTGCAATATGAATGCCCAGTTGTTTATGTAGTTATTTTACCTGTGGTATGCCTAGATTTTTGTATTTTGTAATTATACCTCAATTACCGTATCACTTTTCCTTATGTATTAGTCAAACTAGCTTCTATTTAGTCTAATGTAATAACTTGTTCTATGTGGCATTCATGTATTTAAATTCATACCTGTTTATTTTTCAAAGTCATTGCCAATTAAAAAATACTACTAGGTGACAATATGTTTTTAAACACGAATGTAAACTTGGGCAATTAGACATGATAATTATGAGGCATTATTTAGTTATAAAGTGTGAGAGGAGATTATATAATTTTTTTTCAAATGTAAAGTTAAAATACAATTTTGTTCATTCTTGAACCTCTGAGAACAGTTCCATGAACCAACAAAGGTCTTTGAATTACAGTTGAAGAATCACTCTATGGATTATGAGGAGTCACTGCTCCATTAGGAAAAAGAAGAATTAAAAACAATTATGCACTAAATAAATACTGAAAAATGTAGATGAGATATGATCAGCATTAGCATTTTTTATTTGCCATAACAATACTCTCAATTTGCAAATCTAAGTACTGATAAACCTGAAATCATTTCTCACATTGACTTGGAAATGACCTCAGATCCTTTTGGGTTAATGCTTTAAGCTTGCATTTTTGCCATTAAAAAAAATCAATTAATGTAACTATGAGGACTGTGGTTAGAATATTCGACTCATTTTGAATTATTAAATTGATTTTTGCTTATTCTGTCTAGTGCACTTGTAACTTATTAGTAAAGCAGAAGGTTATAATAGTAAAGGCTTCCAGATCAATGCACTTTGAAGCCTTCAATAATCATTTTGCATTCAATATCAATTAATCTCACTTCGCTGTTGATGTCAACTTTCCTGTTACTTTAATCATATTTTAAACTGTAGAGGAATCACTATTATTGCAGAGATATATAATAAGACTTTTCAGTAAATTTTATAACAGGTAAGATGTTTTAAATTAATTTGTTCACTCAATTTAATCTAAAAATGCCCGTACAGTAAACAGAAAACACCCTGTAGCAAATGTTTATTTACTCTTAGAGATTTTCAAATAATAAATGTTTAATGCTTAAACAAAACCAATACTTTAATATTTCTTCTATAGTTTAACTGAAACAAAATAAGCTCCCTAAGTATACGGGTTAGTAAAACTTAAGACTATGAATTTTTGAAACAATTTTGATGTGTTTTTTTTTTAATAAAATTCAACCAGTTATCACAAATACATATTTTTTGTATTCTGGAGCAGAATTACATTTTGGTGCCATATAAGGGAAATAATTCATCTTTCATAGCCATTTAGCTTTTCTTACTTCATCCACAGAGGCTTTTTTAAAATAAACTTTTTTATTTTAGAATACTTTTAGATTAACAGAAATATGAAAATGTAATATGTCTATCTTTGGGGTATCTTGTATATCCTACATCCAATTTGCCCTATTAATAACATTTCTCATTGGTATGGTACCTTTGTCATAACCAACAAGCTGATATTTGCATGTCATTACTAAGTAAAGATGTTGGTTTTTACCTGATAACCATTGTCTGTCCCAGGACCCCATTCAGAATACCACATTATATTTAGTTGTCATGTCTACTAAGCTCCACTACACTGTGATAGTTTTTCAGACCTTATTCTTGGTGTCCCTGATAGTCTTGAAGAATACTGGTTTGCTATTTTATAGAGTATACATCAGTTTAGATTGTCTCATACTGTCTCATGATTAGACTTGGGTTATGGATTTATGAGTAAAGTGCCATTCTCATCACGTCACATCAAGGGTATATATTATCAGCATGACTTATTATTGTGTAACCTTAATCACTTGAGGTAACATTTGTAAGGTTTCTCCACCTAAAGTTACTCTTTTCTTTTTTTTCCATGCTAAACTCTCACAAAGAAAATAACTATTTGCCACCTATCCTTAAGAGTGGATAATTGTGATTTACTTCCTCAAGGGTGACATATCTTCAACTGCTTTTTTTTTCAGCATCTCCTTAGTCTCTGTTACTACAGCTCATCTTTTTACATCCTGCCTTAACAGTAGAATTAGCCATTTATCCAATGAGTCCTGACTTCTTTCATTGAAAAGTGGCATTAGAAACCAGGATTTGGGTATTGTATGTCCCTGTTTCTATGGAGATTTCATTGCTTTTAAGTCTTCTCAGTTAACAGAACTAGGAGATACATGTGTATACAATCTATCTATCTATCCATCTATCTACACACATAGACACACCAATATCTATTATTATTTCTATACTACATATAATATATGTATATAGATATAGACGCAAAGAGAGAAAGAGAAAGAGAGAGAGAGCTAACTTATTGATTTATCTGTCCTAATTTGGTACCCTATGGTTTATTCTAATCTTCCCCCTTGCTTATTTATAACCTCCAACTTCAACAATGAGAAACATGGCTCCCACAATCCTCTATACATTTAGTCTTTTGTTCATTTTCATTTTACATGTATAATGGTTTCAGAACTGTTAACTCATACCCTGATGATGGGAAACAACTTTTTCAACTAGAGTAGAGTGTTTATGTACAGTTCTTTTGATCTTTAGTCTTCTACTCTCTAGTTTTTTCAGAACCCACTCCTGCATTCTATTCAGTGAGATTATTTCAAACATTTATAATTCATTACATATTTTATTGATGTCTACATTCCTTCCTGTGGTGCATTAATTTCCTCATTGATTCTATACATTTGTATACATTATGGTTCCTCCTGTGTATTGAAAGGCTCTTTGGATATTGACAAATGCAGTGTCATATATGTATCACTACACTGTCACACAGAATAGTTTCACCTACATAAAAAAAAACTGTGCTTCATGTATTTCATGCCCACTCTCTTTATTAACCACTTGAAACCATTGATCTGTTTTTGTCTCCCTAGTTTTTCTTTCCAGAATGTCATACAAATAGAATGATTCAGTATATAGGCCTTTCAGACTGTTTTCTTTAACTTAGCAATGCATATAAGATTCACCCAAGTTATTATGTGAGCTAACAGTTTATTCTTTTTATTGCTGAATAATATTTAATATTCCTATATATAAATGTACTGAGGCTTGTCTTTCCATTCACATACTGAAGGACATATTGTTTGTTCCACGCTTAGGTAATTATAAATAAAGCAGCTATAAAATATTTGTGTGCAGATTTTTTTTTTGAGACAGGCCTCACTCTGTTGTCCAGGTTGTAGTGGCCATGATCATGGCTCACTACAGCCTTGACCTCCTGGGCTCAAGCGATCCCCTCAACTCAGCCTCCCCAGTAGCTGAGACTACAGGTGCACACAACCACACCCAGCTAATTTTTTTTTTTTTTTTTTTTTTGTAGAGATGGGGATCTCTCTATGTTGCCCAGACTAGCCTCAAACTCCTGGCTTCCAGTGATTATCCCACCTCAGCCTAACCAAGTGATGGGATTACAGGAATAAGCCACCATGCCTGGCCAGTGTGAAGATGTTTGTGTTGAAATAAATTTTAAAATCAGTTTGCTTAATAGATAAGACTAAAATTGCTAAATTGTTTGGTAAAACTAAGGATGGATCATACAATGTTGCTAAACTTTCCAAGGTCTCTTTTTGATAATACTTTAGCCCTAGCAATTATCTAGTGAAGAAATTATTCTTTGGATTACAGAAAAGAACTAGAATATTTTAAAGTAATAATTCAACTTGATAGCAAAATATTAGAAAGTAACAGAGTAGATAAAAGTAATATAAACTGAAATTAAATACATTTCAATAATAGCTTTATAAAACTTTCTTAAGCTAAGAGAGGAACCAAAGAAAAACTGATCATAAAAGTAATCCAAAGCAATTACATTGCAAAAAATTCATTTTTTTTACATGCACCTCTGTTTATCACAAGTGGCACGAAGTGGGTAAAAATACTTCTTCATACCAAAGAGAAAAAATATCATTCTTTGGACCACCACGTATGCAATACCACACCATTATTTCTGATAAGCAAAAATGTTTTCTAGGTGCTATTTCTTTGAAAAGAGCTGATTAGAGTATTGATGCAGCTCTGTTGTATGTTGAAGCTCACCTACTTATTTCATTATTTTAAATTGTTCTTGGTATCCCAGCATAAATGAGCCAGAGTCAATTTATATTTGCTTAAGAAATATGTAATTGTAGAAGGAAATCCTTACTGTAGATTTTTTTACACATGCACCATGTCTTTTTTTAATGCCTTACACTACCAGCACACATATTACAACAAAAAGTAATTTATTTTACTGCCGTCATTTTTGTTTAAATGGTAAAAATAGTACCTATTAAATATCCCCATCTTTATTTTATATTCATACTTTCATAATTCTAAGTAACTGATTTTGTAATTACAATACTATATTTATTGAGTAAACCATACCAAACATTGTGTTAAGTACTTTGCACTCATTATCTTCATAAATCTTCTTAACTTTCATATAAGGCTGATATGAATCCCTTTAATAGAAGACAAAGTTGAGTAACATAGAAGTTAAATACATTGCTTATTTTGCACAACTAGAAAGTGGTAGAGACATATTTGTGTATTTCCAAAGCAAATTGAATTATTTATCCCATTCAAATAATTATACTAAGTATGCAACAGAATACATAATAGTTTACCTTCATTTAGAGATGATTATCATCTTGGGGGATAAAATTCCCTGTTGTTACTTTTCTTGGCTTTTAATTTTCCATTTCTTTGAAAAATGCTGAAATGAGAAAAAAGTAAAATTTTCTCTATTTCTAACTACTTCTCTCCTTTCCTTCTTTCTTTATTTCTTTCTTCATTTTCTTTTCTTATCTCTTTGTTCTTTAAAGTTATCTCATTTTGTTAATTATAAATACTGTAATTTATATGTAGTGTTTGTCTTCCTTGAGCTTATAATTGAGTTAGAGAATAAGACTTATTTTCAGATATTTTATAATTCAGAATCACTGTAAGTAGAATAAATTATAATTTTGATAGTATTAACACATGGGTATGTAAGTAGAGATGTGGAAAAGAAAGATAAGATAAATGCATGAATAGATATATATTTGACATATATGACATATATAGACATATACATATATGACATATATATAGACATATATATATGACTTATGAGAGAGCTACCAAAGCAAATCATTGGGGAATATATACATTCTTAAATTAATTAACCTAGGACATTATTTCCTTCTGGAGAAAAGAAACGCATATTTTTATTCAAACTGGATTTTATAGTAAAACTTTGTGTGTATTAGATGCAATAATACAATCCTTTAAAATTTTCAGAAGGCATAAAGGTCTATGCTTATGACCTCAGTGTATGAATGTATTTTTAAAACAAAACAAGAAAGATAAAATCATTAAGGATATTATTTTAAAATGTGATTATTATAAAATTAAAAATATTTATATAGTGAAAAGGCTAGCCACAAATTTTGAGAAGATAATTACTGCACAAAACTGTAGATAGTATTGATATCAATATCATTAAAAGGACCATACAGCCCAAAGCAATCTACAGTTTTAATGTAACTCCTATCAAAATACTAATGTTATTTTTTCACAAAATTAGTGAAAACAATCATAAAATTTACATGAAAGCAAAAAAGAACCCTGTTAGCCAAAGCAATTCTCACCAAAAAACAAAGCTTGAGGCATCACATTGTTGGGAACAGGCCCCCCCAAAATCTGGCCATAAACTGGCCCCAAAACTGGCCATAAATAAAATCTCTGCAGCACTGTGACATGTTCATGATGGCCATGACACCCACGCTGGAAGGTTGTGGGTTTACCGGAATGAGGGCAAGGAACACCTGGCCCACCCAGCAAGGAAAACCACTTAAAGGCGTTCTGAAACCACAAGCAATAGCAGGAGCAATCTGTGCCTTAAGGACATGCTCCTGCTGCAGATAACAAGCCAAACCCATCCCTTTATTTCAGCCCATCCCTTTGTTTCCCATAAGGAATACTTTTAGTTAATCTATAATCTATAGAAACAATGCTTATCACTGGCTTGCTGTTAATAAATATGTGGGTAAATCTCTGTTCGAGGCTGTCAGCTCTGAAGGCTGTGAGGCCCCTGATTTCCCACTTCACACCTCTATATTTCTGTGTGTGTGTCTTTAATTCCTCTAGCACCACTGGGTTAGGTTCTCCCTGACCGAACCCGACTGAGCTGATCTCGGCATCACATTATCCAAATTCAAGTTAGATTACAAGTCTATAATAACCGGAACGGCATAGTACAGGCATAAAAATGATACATACATTAATGGAACAGAATAGAGAATGCCAACCTATACTGGGGAAAGGACCCCCTATTCAATAAATGGTGCTGAGAAAATCAGTTCGTCATATGCAGATGAATGAAACTGGACTCTTCTCACCATAAACAAAAACTAGCTTAAGATGAATTCAAGACTTAAGTGTGAGATCTGAAACTACAAAAACACCAGAAGAAAACTGAGGGAACTCTTTTCTGGACATTGACGTAGGCAAACAATTCATGACTAAGACCTCAAAAGGAAATGCAACAAAAACAAAATTAGACAAATGAGACTTACTTAGTAACTAAACAGCTTCTGCACAGAAAAAGAAATAATTAACAGAGTGAACAGACAACCTGAAGATTGGGAGAAAATATTTGTAAACTATGCATCCAACAAAAGACTAATATCCAGAATCTACAAGGAACTCAAACAACTCAACAAAAACACAACAACAAAAGTTGCCTCATTAAAAGGGGGGCAAGGGACATGAATAGATGTTTTTCAGAAGACATGCAAATGGTCAACAAGCACATGAAGAAATGCTTAACATCACTAATCATCAGAGAAATGTAAATAAAAATCAATGAGATACCATCTTATGCCAGTCAGAATGGCTATAAATAAAAAGTCAAAAAGTAACTGATGTCAGTGAGGATGCAGAGAAAAAGGAATGTTTATACACTATTGGTGGGAATGTTAATTAGTACAACATCTATGAAAAACAGTATGGAGATTTCTCAAAGAACAAAAAATAGAACTACCATTTGATCTAGCAATCTCAAGGTGTCTACCCAAAGGAAAAGAAATCATATCAAAAAAGATACCTGCAATTGTATGTTTATCATAGGTGTATTCACAATAGCAAAGGTATGGAATCAACCTAAGTTGATGACTGGACAAAGAAAATGTGATTTTATATATACAATATATACTTCTCAGCCATAAAAAAGAATGAAATCATGTTTTTTGCAGAGACATGAATGGAAATGGAGGCCATTATCATAAGTGAAACAATTTAGAAACAGAAAGTAAATAATGTATGTTCTCACTTATAAGTGGGAGCTAAATAATGTGTACACATGGACATATGGAGTGGAATAATAGACACTGGAGGCTCAGAGGAGTGTGAGGGTGAGAAGGGGGTGAGGGATGAGAAATTAGTTAATGGGTACAATGCACACTATTTGGGTGATGGCTACACTAAAAGTTCAGACTTCACCATTAAGTCATTTATCCATGTAATAAAACTGTACTTGAACTCCCTAAATCTATAAAATAAAATTTTAAAGGAAAAAATTAATATCAGTGGCAAAAATAAAACTTTGTATTTCAATAACAAATAAAACAAATTACCTTTTTAATTTTTAATTTTTATGGGTACATAGTATATATATTCATGGGGTACATGAAATATTTTGATACAGTCATGGAATGCATAATAATCACAAGGTAAATGACATATCCATCATCTAAAGCATCTTTGTGTTACAAACATTCTAATTAAATAGAATGTGGGTAAAACCAATGAATAGGTAAATCATAGGAAAAAACTTTGTATGACCATAAATATATTTAAATATTTTGAGTTTCATTAGTAATCAGAGTTGAAAAACTAGAAAAAAATTTCAACCCTATGTTACCATATTGCACTCACACATTTGAAAATAAATTACAGTTAAAGCCTTTGAACAACACAGGCTTGAGCTGTGTGATCCATTTATACATGGATTTTCTTTTGCCTCTGCCACCCCTGAGACAACAAGACCAACCTTTCTTCTTCTTCCTCCTCCTCAGCCTACTCAACATGAAGACCGCAAGGATGAAGACCTTTCTTATAATCCACTGCCACTTAATAAATAGTAAATAAATTTTTATTCCGTTTTTATTTTAATAATAACATTTTCTTTTCTCTAGCTTATTTCATTGTAAGAATACAGTATGTAATATATATAACATATATAACATACAAAATATGTGTTAATTGACTATTTTAGCAGTCAGGCTTTTGCTCAATAGTAGAGTATTAGTAGTTAAGTTTTGATGGAGTCAAAAATTACACACAGATTTTAAACCACTCAAGGAATTGATTCTACCAACCCCCCTATGGTATTCAAGGGTCAATTGTACATTATGACAATTATACAAATTTGGCAAGTATGTTAAAAAATGCTAGTATCCTTTTTTAATCAGAATATAAACCACATCAGCTAATTTGGAAAATAATTTACCCTGTAAAATAGAAAATTCACATACTCAACTGTTGTGTAATTCTGCTCCTATGCATAGTCTGTAGAAAATTATTGCATATGTGCTCTAGAAGATGCTCCTGGAACAGAAGGATATTTTTTTAAGACATAGGCAATTATCTCTGGCTCTTTCTGCTTAGATACACTCAACTTCACCACAAATGTTTGTTTTTTTTGTGGCTACCTAAGTGCAATCCCTTGAGCCTCTTGACATTGATTTCTTCCTATTTCTGTGCTATCCAACCCTGTCTACAACTAGGTCGGTGGGATCTCATAAAATTCTTTCTTTTGCAAACACATTGCTTCTCTGCCTCCTATTGGCACAAGTAATCATTTATGTTTTAAAAATCAAAGGACAAGGCAAGGAATGGCATTCGTCTGGTTCAGAATGTCCAATAATTGTGAAATAAAGATAATTATTAAAAACATAATATTGAGACAAAATTAACTTTGTAATTATGTAGTCTAAGTGATTTTCAAGCTATGGTTATTGGAATCTCAAGATTCTTGAGAGATGCCATAGGGAGTAATTGCGGGACTTGTACCCCATTTAAAGCAGCGTTACTTTCAAATGATTGGTATATTTAAACGCCATATTTGTTGAAAAGCTGTTGAATAAAGTTTTAAAACCACCAATCCATCCAGCTTACTTATTTGGTTTGTGAGAAAACTGAGAATGTAAGTGGCATGAATCAATTAAAAAATGAAGTTTATTTAGTTTTCAGAATGGAGCAAAGAAGACAGTGATTACGATATAACAAATACTTAAGGGAAATAGGACTTTTTAATCCACAGAAACAAAGACTTTCAGGAAGAAGGGAATGTTGCTTTATATATGTGGCTGTCATGGCCAAGACACTTTAGAGTTATTTTTACTTCTCAACGAAAAGTAAGCTACAGATGGATAGAGCTTTTTCCTTCTAATTGTAAGGCTTGTCAAGATTAGATGGATAGTGTTTGGTGGTGATGATTTACATATAATTGGATTTCAAGCATTGACTATATATGCACTTGGTCTCTACCATATGATATGGTAGAGGCTCTATAGAAGTGTAACTTCATTAAAACTTATATCTACATTTTCCACAGATAAAAAATGCATATTTCTCACAGCAGAAATATGGTTTTATATTTTGTCACACACAAGGAGAATGCTGCTGTGCCATACCAAGCTTGAAGAAAAGGATTTTATCAAGTGAATTCTGTGTGCAATGATTAAACTTGTTTGAATAATCTTCCTGAGTTATTTGATCTTACTAAATACATAACAGATTTTTGTAAAGGCCCAATCCCCTAAATTATTCTATTGAATTTATTTTCTTAAATCACCATTCTCAGCATAGAATTTCTTTACTCACAAATGCTTAAATAATTCAATTTTGCAGAGAAAAAGCTCACATTATTTATATAACATTCAAGGTATACCACTGAAAATTACTTTTCCTAAAATATTTACCACTAATTATCAGCATGAACACTTTGCTCTTACACAATTACCTACCCATAGTCCCTCAGGTAAATTTTGTTCTTGCTCATTTCTCTATTATTATTTCTATTGCGTACTCTATCTCTTCCTTTGTTTCTAAATCTCTGTGTCTCTCACTCTATGTCTTTTTCTCTATATTTCTACACTTGATATTTGAGTAGATGCTCATCACAGATTCCTTTTACCATCTCCTCCTTTTCTACTAAGAGTTTCTTCAGTCTCTTTCCTGGGTGCCTTTTTCTTTTGTTTCTATACTGTCTCTTCAAGTATTTTTTTTTTCTTTTTCCATGTCTTTAAATACAACCTAAATACCGATGTATCACAAATATATATTTCCAGCCACGACATTTAAACTCAGTTCCAGACATATACACAGCTGCCTACTTCACATCTTCACTCGGTTGTCTCACAGGTATCTCATCAAAGTTAGACATGCCACTGCACTCTTAATTTTTTTCTCCAAATTTGTTCCTTCATAATTATTTCTCATATCTGAAAAGTGGTCACAATCCATCCATTTACTCAAGTCAGGAGCTTATATGTCACTTATGTCCTCACCCTCCAATGTTTACTTTCAGCAAGCTCTACTTATTTTATCTCCAGAACGCATTTCAAAGCTATGCACTTCTTTATATCCGTCCTGTTAATACTCTTGTCCGAGCAATTTTCATTTTTGTTTTCTTGTCTGGAGTACTAAAATAGACTAGTTTCTGGAAGTTTTATGTGGCTATTCTTAAATATAAGTAAAATCTACTCATCTTGCTTGTATAGTTTATTAATTTTTTTAGGAAATATGAAACCATTATCACAATCTGGTTTAAACATCTCCATCATCCCAGGTGGTTCCTTTTGTCTGTTTGAAGTCAATTCCCACTGCTACTCCTGCCTCAGGAAACCACTGGTCTGCTTTTGGTTTCTATAAAATTGTTTTCCTTTTGGAAATTAAATATAGATGATGAAATTACATATTTTTTGTTTGGAAATTAAATATAGATGAAATTACATATTTTCTGTTTGACATCTCATTTCATGTGATTTTCATTGTTTCTCCATATTACTTTGTGGGGTTTTTTTTGCTGAATAATATTTCACTTTATGGAAATACCCCGTGTGGTTGAACTTTTGAATAGTGTCCAGTTTGGCTGCTATGGAAATATATGTACATTTGAAGAGTACTGCTATAAATATTCATGTTCAGTTTTTGTGTGGATATAGGTTTTCACTTATCTTGGGTAGATTCCTAGGAATAAAATTGCTGGGTAGTAAAGCAAAATTATATTTAAATTTTCAAGAAATTTACAAAACATTTTTCCAAATAAATGTACCATTTACATTCTAACCCAGAATATGTTAGTGTTCAAGATTGTCCACATCCACACCAAAATTTATTACTATTGGTGTTATAGGTTAAATTATGTCTTCCTCAAAAAAAGATACGTTGGAGTACTAACACCCAGTGCCTCAGAATGTGATGGTATTTAGAGACAGTCTTTTTTTTTTTTTTTTTGGCAAAGATGGAAGGGGGAGAAAGGCAGAAGGAAGCTGGAGACAGGCAGAAGGAAGCTGGAGACAGAATCACAGTCTTTACAGAGATAACCAAGTTAAAATATGATGACTAGGGTGAGCCTAACCCAATATGACTGTGGTCTTTACAAAACGGGAAAATTTGAACACACGGGAGACATGAGAAGGCAGCACACCATGGCCATGTGAAGATAAATGCAGAAAGGCCTGGAAAAGATCTGTTCTTCACAGCTCTCAGAACAAACCAACACTGATGACACCTTGATTTCAGACTTACAGTCTCCAAAACTCTTAGACAATAATTTAAGCCATTCAGTTTTTGGTAGGCACATTGTTACATCAGCCCTAACAAATTAATACAACTGGCCTTTTTTATTTAAACAATTTTAATCAGTTTGTAGTGGTAGCTCTTTGCTGTTTAGTTTTAATTCTCCTAATGACTAATGATGTTGAGAATCTTTTCATGTGCTTCTTAGCCACTCATAATTTCTTTAGTGAAATGTGCACTAAAACATTTACACTATTCTAAAATTAGATTTTTTGGTCCCACCATTGAGTTTAAAAATCTATTTATATATTCTGGATACAAGTCCAGAGTATTATTTGTAATTATTTTATTCCAGTCTATGTCTTGCCGCTTCATTTTCTTAGTGAGTTCTTTTTCTTTTATTGTTTTATTATTATTTTTTTAAAGCATATCTCCATTGAGGTATATTTGTTATGTGATAAAATTTTCAGACTCATAATGTATAATTTGACTAGTCTGAATATGTAAATACCCATAAAACTATCACCACAATCAAGATAATTAATAAGCACATCAACCCCTAAAAGATTTATTGTAATTCCCCCACTCTCTGGCCGCAGGATCAGTGAAGGAATTACAATAAATCTTTTAGGGGTGATGTACATGTTAATTAGCAGAAAACTTATCTTATAGTCTAAGATAAGTATTGATCTGGTTTGTATCACTGTGGGTAATTTTCTATTTTTCTCCAATTTTTTATAAATGGAATCTTACAGTGTCTACACATTTTTTCAAAAGGAGAGTCAGGTTTCTTTCACTTGTATATTTACTTTGAAATTTACCCATATCATTAAATTTATTGGTAATTCCTGTTTTACTACGGTGTCATATTCCAGTATACAAGTACACCACAATATGTTTATTATTTACATGTTGGTAGATTTCAACTAACAATGTCCTGGTAAACTAAGTCTCCTGAGGGGATACGGAGGATAATCTGATTTATAATATTTGCTGATTTTCATGTTGTAAGTGTTCACACCGTGGCTGATTTCAACTGTTTGGCAAATTTCCTGACTGCTTAGCTCCTGCAAGCTGGTAGGAGCTGCCTCCATCACACCATTGGATGTCCAAATGCAGCCCATTTGCTTAAGAGGAAAGTTTACCCCAATTCTAGCTCCAGTATGACCCCAGTTTTACTCAAGTTAAACAGCAGGTCACACATACTTACTAGTCATGGTGTTAATTGAGGGTCTAATCCTATGTGAGGAGACAATGACTGAAAGCTTCTTGGAAGGAAATATCTCTGTCTCTGCCTGCCTCTGAAAATCCATGAAGAAAGAATTTATCTCTTACAGCTGTTTAAATAAAAACAGAAAAAGCATATAGCCCTAGAAAGATACTGGCCTAACATTTAACCCTAACTTCCAATAAAAAATAGAGGTAGCCTTAAAATGAAGCATACATCCTACGTAATGCATAGAGAGAAAGACAGTGACCAAATGAATCCTTGCATGCCACCCACACTCTTCCATACTGTTCAGATATGTACACCAATAATTTGTTGATATTGTTTAAGGCAGTTTGGATTTTTTTTGACACCTCTAACAGAAGATTTCCTAAATGATATAGCCACATGTCTAAGACAGGTTGTAGCAGTTTTTTCTACATAAATCCCTGGCTTCTTTTTAGATCAGTGGAGATATATAACATTCTAGCCAAATTCATTCTAATCTGGTTATTTGGCCTATCCACTTATTTACTAAGCAGCTAAACCTCAACTTTATGACCTATGGAATAAAATTTGAATCCTTCTTTAATTCAGTATCTCTACGTACAAAACAAACACAACAAATATGCAAAATATGATTCAGGATAATTAATATAATGAAGAAGTACATAGTTTAAAGAAGATAACAATACAGATAAAAAGTGTGCAAGCACACGTGTGTGTGAGTATAAAGAGATGAGAGATGTTACAGAGTAAAAAGTGGCCAGAACTAAAATATTACAAAATGAAAGACTCCAATGCAAAATCATCTATTAATTAATTAATTGATTTTAGTTAATTTTCGGGTAAGAGATTAATTGTATTTTTTATCTTCTCCGTTATCAGTCCTTTCTGTCAGCATTTGCCACTTTCCGTAATTCCTTTTTTTTCTCAAAGCTTTCATTTCACGCTTATGGCCCAGAACATCTAGGAATCCAGGCTGGGTGAGAGTGAATGATGCTCTATTAGTTTCTTATTTCTGCTACAACAAATTACCACAAACTGAGTAGCTTAAAACAACACAAATTTATCTCCGAATTCTGGAAGTCAGCTTTCTAAAACTGGCCTCAACTAACATCAAGTTGTTACTAGAACTAGCTCCTTCTGGTGGCTCTGAAGAAATAATCCACTTTCTCTCTCTCTCTCTCTTTTTTTTTTTTTAGTTTCTAGAGGCCACCTGCATTTTTGGCTCATGGCCCTTTGGACATCTTTTGGGGCAATTATTTAGCCTGTCACAAATGCTAAGTGATTACATCTTCATTATTTGATCTGAACTCTTAAAAATTATCTTATTGAGCTATTTCAATGTAAACTAGGCTCAAGTAATTCTTACTTATCTTATATTTCCTTTTATCCAAATGCTTTCTAGTCTTCAGGGTCAAGTATGTATGAATTTTTGATCATTTCTCTGTATCTTCAACTGTTTAGCCAAGAGTGATTTGCCATTTTTTAAAAAAGTTTTGCCCTTATCACAATTATTTCCTTGACCCTAATAATGTATCACCCTGAATTGCTATTTTTATTTATGCTTTGTCTTTCATTTTCAAATTAATTGGAAATTGCGTAAGTATTCTTTAGCCTTTTCTTAAAGTAACCTGCTAAGTATTTACAGGTTAATTTTAAGTATATTTGTTCATGTATAAAAAATAAAAATAAACTTACTGTAGCCCACTCTGTGAAAACGAATGGTTTCTTTTTATTTATATCCCTTATAATCCATTTTCTTCACCAATAAAGTACCATAGATTATAACTGCTGAAATGTGGAAAACATCTTTTATAGTAGACAGAATCTAGAAAATTGATTTTCATAGATTTTTAGGATTCATGACATTAGCTTTGAATACTATCAGTCTCCTCTATTCAACATCATAACTATTATAGAACGGATATTATTTTTAAGAAAATTACCTATGTTTTTTCCTTGTCTTCATTTCATCCTCCCTAGCATAAGTACTCTTTTTATATTAAGAAATATATAACAACGAATTTCTCCTGGAAAGAGTGTTAAAGACATCATACCGAAGTAATATTTTTGTTACTTTCAAGGATATTTACGCATATACAATCTTATCATAGTATCAGTATCCACATTTTATGATCAGCAAATGTTGGAAGGTATTCTTGAGTAACTTGTGTTACACAGATTCTCAAACATTTCCTAAGCGTTTATCTCTAAATTTAAATTAACACAAAATTTAGTCTACTTACTTCTCACCCATGTATTCAAGTGTATCTTATTTAAATGCTATTTTCCAGAGCTATTTTATGACCACAAGAATTCCTTTTAAAACAAAGTCTTCTTTTATTTTCAAGCTTCATTTTTCTCAATATCATTAGTATAAATTCCCAAATACACAAATGTGACTGAAAATTTCAAATCGATAAGTTTTAGTTATACTTGAATGTTGGTAACTCCTCCATCTAAAGAACTGAGCATGCCCTGAAACTGAGAATGAAGAGGCAACTTAATGGCACAAAACAATAATCTACTTATTTTATACATAAAATATACAAATAATTTGAACTCTGATCCCTTAATGTCAGAGTTTAGTTTATGAACCCACCAAACTGAGTGCACGAATCTCCTGATACTGAAATACAATAGGGAGAAGCATATGGTAATGCATATTATAGTGATTCACCGTCCAGCAGAGGGAAGATTTTCTTCAATTTCAGCCATGTAACCACACTGTATTACCGCACACGGGATTCTTCTCAGCAATTTGCCATCTGAAATAAGCATGAGGGCAACTTCCATAAAAATGATTTATTTTCTTTTTTAAAGAAACTGCTCATCATAAACCAGCATACTATAGCATGTTGGAGAGGAAGCACGGGTTTCATTTCCAGTAAGAATAGAATACCCACCTCTGCCTTATTGTATTTGTGTTAACATTTGTAGAAAATATAGGGGATATTTTTATGGCCTTATCAAGAGCTGCAGATGAAAAGAAGAAAGTAATCCATGGACCTCCAGAACTCGATACCATTGTGTTGAAAGTTGTCGTCATTGTTAGGTGTTAGTTACAAGCCCTATTATGCCTATTCTATTCATAAGAAGAAAAGACTATGTCAGAAAGTCAGGTTAGTTGTTGTATATTAGCTTGTTCTGATGGTTTAATTTAATACTGAAAGGTTTTTAGTCTTTCTTCTAAAATTCACTGCTCAGATATGTGTTCCTGATGCTTTCAATAAAATAACTAAAAATAAAAATTGGAAAATGAGTAAAAAAATCTTTGGAGGCCAGGCGCAGTGGCTCACGCCTGTAATCCCAGCACTTTGGGAGGCCGAGGCGGGTGGATCACAAGGTCGAGAGATCAAGACCATACTGGCCAACATGGTGAAACCCCGTCTCTACTAAAAAAATGAAAAAAAATACAAAAATTAGCTGGGCATGGTGGTGTGCGCCTATAGTCCCAGCTACTTGGAAGGCTGAGGCAGGAGAATCACTTGAACCCGCGGGGTGGAGGTTGCAGTAAGCCAAGATCGTGCCACTGCACTCCAGCCTGGGAGGCTCAGCCAGACTCCGTCTAAAAAAATCTTTGGATACATTTGAAAAATGTTTGGTTTGACTTTTGTCCTTCTTAATTTGGGTATGTTCTTCTGTAAATGCATAGAAATATACTGGAGTTCTTTAATGTTTATGAAATTTTAAAGGACATTTACAATAGCTTTAGACAATTATTAGAATGAAAAGAAAGTTTTCTGAATTCTGGTATAAGACTGTGTGTTTTATATTCACCCATACAGTTTTACTATGCTCTTTGTCTTTCAAATACTGAAAAATGAAGGAAATCAAAGCTTTCTTTATTTTTCTCATATATTCTCCATGTCTGTATTTCATTTATGTGCGGAACCAATTTTAAATGCATATCACTGTTTTTTGAAAGGAGTATGCTTCCTTGCCTGTTAAAAAGGTCCAGAATAACAAACAGAGTAAGAATTTATAGAGGACAGAATGTTGGGCATTCAAGATTACATCATCACAAAAGCCAGACCTAATTATATCTTGAACACCAAGCTGTTGATTTAAATATATTGTGAGAATGCTATAATAAGATGGCATTATATAAGTAAATGTTCTTTTAAGTATTAACAGTTATCATTTAAATTTCAAAAATTCTTGAGACAATTTTTAGATTTCTTCTAAAGTTACATAAACCTATATCCTAAGAAAAAATAACAGCAGTTTCATTATCTTTTTAAAAAATAATAGAGAAGGTTCTTGATAATTGTTTTAAATATGTATTTTTATCTGATGTTTAGGGGTAGTTTTGTTTTCCTAAGACGAGTTAGGGGATAGTTTTGACAATGATACAGCACTCCAAGATTTAGTTGATTTGCTGGGTTCAGCTTTTAGCATTACAAAATCAGTAAGATAACATGCTTCAAAGTAAATGAATGAATATTATAACCCATATAAAATTTAATGAAATGTTGAGTAGCCTCCAAACAAATATTGATTCTCAAACTAAAAGAATAATTGAAATGTATTTTAAAAAATTGTAAAGTATAGACAATGTTAAAAATTACTTAATTAATTGTTTGAGTTCATTTTATAATGTTTAGCAGTTTGTTCTAGAAGTTGATGCATAGAGACTGTCGAAATCAGAAGTGTGTCTACAGTCATATTAACATTTGTTTCATACCTACGAAAGGCCGGTTTTCAAGTTTATTAACACCAGGAATAGCGTGGCCTATGTTAAATAATGTTGATGCATACGTTAGTATAGAAGGGCTTACAAAATTATCCTCCTTTTTTAATGCTGGCAATTTTTAAAATTTAAATGAAAATATAATGGCATGGAGTTAGTATTCATATCATTTACATAATTTTAATGTAATTATAAATTTTTTAAATTTTCTATAAGAACTAATGTGTTAATAGAGAAAAATGTTAATACTGCTATGATACCAGACTTGATATTATCATGCATATGTCTCTCTTTTTTTATTAAAAGATATTTAAAGATTTTTACATTTGCCTAAAGATATTAAAAGAAACTCTCTTACTAGGGCCATTGTTTTCATTAAACTGACAATTATTTACTGAGTCCTTGTATTCACCCAGAACTTTGAAGGTACTAGATTCTCAGTTATGAGTAAGATAAAAATAAAACCTCTCTTTTCTTGGGAATGCATATGTTATGGAAAGTGTGATGAGAAATATTTAAAAAGAACAACAGAGTTACAAGAGAGCCATACAACAAAAGAACATAATCTGGTTTCATTGTGGAGAAAGATGGGGTTAAGCAAGCCTTCTTGAGGAAAAGAAATTTAAATAGAGAGCTGTTAAACGCATAGGTCCAAACTAAGTGACTAGGGAGGGAAAAGAGAACACAATGTTTAAAGGCTAGAAGGCGAAAAAGAATCGGTAAATTCAGCAGGAGAGAATATCGGGGGTGGGGTGATATTAAAAAGAGAAAGTAGACAGCCAAAATGTCCAAGAGTTGAACAATCTTACAAGTCATGGTAAGAAGCTGGAAATAGATCCTAAAATAAAAAAAATTTAAAATATTCCATTAAAAGGTATGATATAATCTCATGTTTTTGTCAATATTATCTTCTGATTTTTGGTGAACATTGTCATGGTAACTAAGGTTATATCCATCTCTTCTACAGCTATTAGTTTCAAAGCTGAGAATTGGAAAAGGCACTTTAAACACTGTCTTTTCTATACAATTAAAAAGAGTCATTTCTAGTTGGATTTTAGGTACAATACTCTAGTGCTCTCTGTAATGCTATTAGTAGCTTCCTACGACTGACATAACAAAGTACCACAATTGAGTGGCTTAAAACAACAGAAATGTATTGTCCCACAGCCTGGAAGCTGGTCTGAAATTAAGGTGCTACAGGGTCATGTTCCCTCTGAAACTCACAGGAGACTCTTATCCTAGCTATTCCTAGTTGCTGGTGGTTTTTCAAGCATTCTTTAACATTCCTTGGCTTGCAGCAGCATAACTCCAATCTCTGTCTTCATCATCCCATGGTATTTTCCTTCATATGGCCATCTTGTCCTAAGGACAATCATCATATTGGATGAGTGCTCACCCTGCTCCAATATGACTTCACCTTAGCTGTTTACATCTACAGTGATCCTATTTCCAAATAAGTTAAGACTCCAACATATTTTTTTTTTGTGGAGGGGCCACAATTCAACCAGTAACAGATAGTAAGACCATTATGTCTACTAATCACAGTGTACTTGATTTTACTCTGAATATAACAGCAATTTTGCCAATTATGTTTTACTACTACTTGAAGAGAAGCAAGGATGCTTTATATGACAAACTATTAGAGTTATCACTGGAAACAATGAATCCAAGCAATGTAGAAAATGTTTGTTTTTAAAATCCTTTCTCTTTGAGTCACAATGAATTTAATGACAATTATTATAAAAGACACTTAATTGCAAACAGGTGTATGGCATTTTAAAAATCAAGCTAAAACTAGATTTTTGAAATTATGATCAGAATAATATTAAACTAAGAATGTTGGCTCTGATAATTTTAAATAACATTACCTTATAATCTCTATTCATGAAGTATATTGATAATGCAAGGTCAAGGTATATCTCTATTTATGAGTTATATAAAGATTCCCAACGTAGAAGTTATGGAGATGGAATAACATTGAAAAGATGGTGATTAAATTACAATTTAAGTGTTATTCCTTTTCAATGACATCTTGAGGGCTCAGTGTTTCATATGAAATATACTCAGTGATTAAGGATTTCATCAGAATTCTTTCCTAACAGCATACTAAGGTTAATGTTCTCATCAAGAGGCCTCTAACAAAGAAAATTCGTTCTCATTATGATTTTCTCTCCTGTTAATTTTCTGAACAAATATATATATGTATGTGTGTGTGTGCATGTGTGTGTGTGTGCATGTGTATCTCATTTACCATTTACTGCAGAAACTAAAATTTTTATGTCAAGAAGATTCAAGTTTTTTTAATGGTGGATATTCTGAATCTTCTTTCTTCCTTTTTACATTTTTATTGATTTATTTTTTAATTTTAGGTTCGGGGGTACATGTGCAGGTTTGTTACATGGATATATTGCGTGATGCTGAGGTTTTGGCTTCAACCGAACTCATCACCCAAATAGTGAATATGGAATCCTACAGAAAATTTTTCAACCCTTACTCACTTTCCCCCTTCCCCATTTTGTAGTCCCCATTGTCTATTGTTCCCATTTCTGTATCCATATCTATCCAATATTTAGCTCCTACTTGTAAGTGAGAACATGTGGCATTTGGTTTCATGTTCCTGCATTAATTCACTTAGGATAATGGCCTCCAGCTGCATTCATAAACACATTCATGTTTCTGGAAAAGACATGATTTTCTTCTTTTATACAGCTGCATAGAATTCCAAGGTATATATGTACCACATTTTCTTTATCTAATCCACAATTAATGAATGCCCCTTTATTTTTTTTTTTCTGATTTCTCCCTTTAGGAATGGGAATGTGTGTTTTATGCCTTACCTAATCTCTTATTAGAAAGAAAATGATTTGATAGTTGCAGATGGTATTTATATGATCCCACATTTCATCTCAATTCCAATAGCTACAGGTATAATTCCAGAACTACGTTACTAAAATTACTTTTCTCTAATCCTTGTACTTCTCCCATAATACACTGTTTACTGAAAAAAAAATGAGGGCTTCTATCACAATATAATATTGAATGGATGACCTTTCACTTCCAAATCCTCTAGTAGCAACAAAACTTTTTACAAATTAAATACAATCTTGTAATTGTTTTCAAAGCTTCCTTCTAACAGCCCATTTTATATTTAATTAGTATTTTTCCCTGTGTTACCCACACTCATGCTATTTCCTCCAAGGGGTGGGGAATCTATTTGCATTTATGTTTATATAACTCAGTCGGCCGAGTGCGGTGGCTCACGCCTGTAATCCCAGCACTTTGGGAGGCCGAGCCTGTGGATCACTTGCGGTAGAGTTTGAGACCAGCCTGGCCAACATGGTGAAACCCCATCTCTACTAAAAATACAAAAATTACCGGGGTGTGGTGGCACTGGCCTGTAGTTCCAGCCACTCCGGAGTCTGAGGCAGGAGAATCGCTTGACGGTGGAGGGAGGTGTTGGGGGTGGGGGAGATGTATATTCTGTTTACCTATTATATCATTTGCCTTTGCTGTTTTATTCAGTATGCCCATTGATAATAATATGAAACAAAGAAAATAGACAAATATGAATAAAAGCAACAATCTAAGTCAAACAAGGCCAGGAATTAAAGTGCTGTTAAGTATGATCATGTGATTTTTAAGGCCTGGTAAGCAAAAGTTGGCTACTGTTTCCATAACTTGCTGAAAGATAATGATTAGATTTTTAAAAACATGCTAGAATACTAGAAACTACTTGCTTGGATTAAGATTTGATTTGAATTTGGGTTGCGAGAGCTAAAAATAAAAATACAAATTTTATTTTGGGAGCACAATTAACATTTTTATAGGTATATTTCTTTTCTAAACTATGATTTTAGAAATTTCTATCAAGCTATTTTCTGCTGAATGTGCTTTTCATTCAGTGTTTCACTTTGTTTAGAAGCTTTAATAAAATAGTTTACTAATTGTAATCCAGACTTCTTGCTTATGCAGATATTTTGGAAGGATGTGCTTTAGAGAGTAAATAAACAAACAAATAAACATCAAAATATTCATTAAAACATAAGTAAAATGCAAACAAAATAAAATACGCCCTACTTAATTTACGTACATTTTAATGTTTTTTAGTTAAAAGTGCTCTGAAATCTAAACATTACAGTAACTAGATAATATTTGAAATATAGTAATATTAATATCATTCCAAACATTTGAATCCTTAATGATTAGGAAAATAAAAGCAAAAGTTGTACATTCACCAGTTTAATAGGTATTTTTACGATTGCCATAGGAATATAGATTTAAATTTTTATTGAATCTATAAATATTAAAGTATCAATGTGTATTTATATTAAAATTGGATTAAAATTATAGTTACCTAGTTTCAAACCACCTGAAATATGTAAGTGTTGAATTTGAATGTTTACATATATGAGAAAAAAACAAAATTCAATACTAATTAAAAGACATCATAGGACAGGAGTGGCTAGTGTATTACAGAGTTTTACATAACTAAAATCCTAAAAAGATTTATATGTGTTTATATAAACTCAAAATATATACATATATATAAATACTCATATATATATAATATATAATCTTTTTTTTTTTTCAGAGATGGGGTCTCGCTCTGTAACCCAGGCTGGAGTGCAGTGACGCGATGCAACCTCCACCTCCTAGGTTCTAGCAATTCTCCTGCCTCAGCCTCCTGAGTGGCTGGGACTACAGGCACATCCTGTCACACCCAGCTAATTTTTTTTTTTTTTTTGTATTTTAGTAGTAGCTGGGACCACAGGCACATGCCGCCACACCCAGCTAATTTTTTTTTTTTTTGTATTTTAGTAGAGACGGGGTTTCACCATGTTGCCCAGGCTGGTCTCTCCTGAGCTCAGGCAATCCACCCGTCTCAGCCTCCCAAAGTGCTAGGATTACAGGTGTGAGCCACCATGACCAGCCATCTAATCTAATCTTAAACATACACACAGAAACATAAATACATACAGCTATATCCCCTTTCTTTTAACTGGCATTTAATATTTAATATTTTGGATGTTTTGCATAGATTGACTCTTTCAGAATCTGAATCACAGGGTATATTTTACTTTAAGGATGTTTGAAAGTCTCTAGATTAGAAAATTCGATCATTAATATAAGTTGGTGAAGAAACCAATGAAGAGATAATGTTGCTGTCAAAATTAATAAGTGATTAGAAGCATCATTGATTATTTGCCTTGTAGATGAATTCACAGTAGAAATATATTTATAAGAAAAAGATTAAGATGTTTATGCATAGTTCATATTTTCAAATATATTTTTCTTTTCACTGTTATATAATGTTTCATAAAATAATCATAAGTTAAAAATTTTCCAGAATACATATTTGGTAATTTTTATTGAAATTGCATAATAATTATAAAGAAATATTCATAGGCAAATGTTCTCATTCTGCATTAGCACAGCAATTATTTAAAGTTTTAATTTCCTTGAAAAGATTCTGTTTACACATATATCCATATGGAGTTATTCAATAACAACATATTGTAGAAAAAAAGTTGTAAAATACTTTTTTTCTTTCTTCTATTCCCCCAGTGTACATACAGGTTAACTGCTGCACAGAATTGTTAAGAATTTCTACCCTCTAAATCCAATCTTGTCTAATTATTTATGTTGATTGTTAGTGTCTTTAATTAGAATTATAATTAAACCCATTTTGAACACCATGACCACTTTTAAAGCTGTAGAATAGAATGATTACATAAATCTTAATCTGGCTGATTTTTATATTACTTGTACAGTCTAAAATTTGGTAAAGTAATACAAGTTGAAAAAAAATCCCCAATCGAGTGTTTATAGCAAATTTTATAACTTAAGAAGTTTTAAGCAAATTATAATGAAATGTTTGTATTGCATTACTTTCTTCTTGAGTGAAATCTAGTATGAAGCCTTAAAAATTGTCCAAGCATTATTAACTATTAAAATATTTCAAACGAGTCTTTGGAAACACATTTTTATTGGAGGAATTTTGAGGCATGTTCATAAAGTAATGTTTAGAGAAGGTTAACAACAAACAACAAGGTAAATGTATAATATGTTTATCAATTCTTTTTATGTCTTTCTTTTAGAATTTTTTGAACTCAAGATTTAAAAAGTACTTTTATAACAATGTGTTGATTTTTTTTCTGCATTTGGGTAATTTCTTTATGTCACTTTGCTGTTGGTTGAATTTCTAAAATCATCCATCTGACATACAAATGAATTGAAATTTGGTGAATTAGATCAATATTGTCTTAATACTTATTCTGGTATAATAAGTCAGATTTGAATGCAAAGATAATGAGAAAATAAAGCCCAGTATATCAAGTCAATGTGCATGCACATATCAGGCTGTGTTTGCTAATTTGTCCAATGGTGGTTAACATTAAGTACAGTCACAACACTTGCCTACACAGAGCACCACAGAACAATTGCTAGGAATTAAGTGACATATGTTTAAATTCATTCACATGAGATATTTTGAGCAGCTCTTGGTTACAATTAATTGTTGCATTAATGTACATAACTTTGTTGTCTAATTTGCTAAAAAGAATGAAATTGGAAACAGCTCAGTTTTTAATAAATTCTTGCAAAGTCAGTGATAGGTCAAACTTAGATAAATCATATTCGACAAGGAAACTATGGTATAGGGAGTGAGTGCTACATTAATTTCAGTCTCACTTTTCTGTCTTATCTACCACACACACATAAAATAACACAAATGCCTTTTTTAAAAGTGGGAACAATGAAACAATAAAAATTCAATGCTAATGGAATTTGTCAATTCTAAAACAATAAAATATTCAGAGCAATGAAGGCAGTTGCCTGTCATTGGTAAAAAATAGAGGAGGAAAATCAATATTTATTTATCTGAAAGAAACAACTCTGGCTTGTAATATTGATATTTTCAACAGGATGAAAAAGCTTTTCACAGAAAGACTTCACTTAAAAAAAAACCTAAAAGGTATTCTATGCATTAGGTTGATCAGATATTTTAAAGGAATATAAAGTTTCCTATGTTTACTATAAAATGTCATATTTCTAAACATTATTATAATTGGCTGTGTTGTGTTATAGAGATTAATCAGTTCCAACTACATGTATTTAGTTCAACAAGTAAGTGTGCTTAAATAGATTTTTTTCTTCTGTGAGGCAAACAAAAAAAAGCTTCTTATCCTGAGCTCTCAGCCCAAGATACCTGCTGATCACAGCAATTATTGTTGGCACCTTGAACAAATCTCTGTTTTCTACTTTGGCCTGCCGCCCTTGGGGACACATCTATGGATTAGAGAGGCTCTGCTGTGGGTGACTTTTGGTTGTTATTTAACTTTGATGCAGCTGAAATCTCTTTAACTAATGCTAGCTTGCTGACCTTTGGCTCCAAGTAGAAGGAATTTATTTGAAAATGAAATGCATCTTGGGACATTCCCTAGTGTTAGAACCTTGATCTAAAAATGTAGCATTGTTTGCTCTCCATTGATCTCTACTTTCAGTGTATTCTGTGACCTAACGTCATTTTAATAGCTATCATTTCCTGTTAAGATCAAACAGGGTTAAAATGAACCGACACCAAATACTTGTTTCTTTATTAATTTTATTTGAAATACTTCTGCAGTTGACACCAATATAAATGTTCACTTTCACTAAAACACCATTTTATTCCAAAAACTGTCAGCTTTTTCTAACAAGATAGATGCACATTATCTTATGAGTTTCTGTTTTCTTCATTTCAATTACATATTAAATATATTTTCAGGTTGAAAAAGGTTTGGTTATGCCAAGAAAATAAATACTTAGAATACATAGAAGCATCTTTATTAATAGATATATTTGAATAAAAGGAAAGTGAAGAGGTGAATAAAATCTATTGGGTGATATTTTAGCACTTAAAAGAAATACAATAATTAAATCTTTACTAATAAATTGTCTATGACTAATAGTATGTATTCATATGATTTTGTCCAAACATTAAGTACTATGATGTGATAAATGAACACTTTTTATGATAAAATCAGCGTTTTTGAGAGGATAAATTATTTATGTAACACCATCAATTTGTAAAGATATAGCTAATATTATGGTGTCAGTCTTTCTGCATTCCTGAGTTTTTTTTATTCATTTAGTCACAAAGACTCTCTCATAAACATATTTTAGTCCATCATTCTTTGCACCAATCAGGCCATTGAATACTTGGGCCACTCTGATTGGCCACAAACCCAAGAAGAGGTAATCCTGGATTTTCAACTGGCCTGATCATGATCTTGACTCTCTGATGACATAATTTAGTATCTGATAGGCCTGATTCTTCAGGTGAATCCTTTTATACTCTCTGGAATTCAGGTGAAGTAAAACTTCCCACAGCAAGGAACATGCTAATCTTTTAGGCTGTAAAATGCTGTCTCTGTATTGTTTTGGATGTGTTTAAAATACCAGAGCATCCTGAACCAGATGTAAGTTAATGAGAATCTCAGTCTGGCATACAACAATCAGAGAATCATTAACTGGATATAATAAAAACTGTAAATTCATCCTATTTTCACTGGGATGAAAATGTGGTGTTTCTGTTACTGAGAAGGCAGGTCTAGACTGCTGTTAGGTTGAGGAGCTAGGGAAACTTGCTTTGATCTAAAGACCTGGTCTTGGTTTAATTCTCACAGTAGTACAAGAACACCCTTCTACCCAAAGCAGTTAGGTTTCTAAATTGTGGGTATGGAGTCATGAATGGACCAACGAAACACATGTTTATGTGTAGTATTCCTTGAATATTTCTCAGAATATCATTTTATTAAAACAAAGTGATTTTTGTTTGTTATAAAAATGTTCTGTTTCAGTTAATAGTCCTCATTTCATATAAATTTATGCTAATATTAAAATGTAATAAAAGAATTTCCTGCATTTTCATTCTAACTGGAGGGCTTACTCTGTGTACATGACCAAGAAGACAGAGATAGAAATAATTCTGAATAATTAAGAAAAATATGCATAAATTACTAAGATGCTAATATGAAAATATACTCATATGGTATCCATAGACACATAAAGTAATAGTATGAGACATTTTGCTTTGCAATTAATTTACACTATGAAAGTAAGCACATTCACATTTGTATTGAAAATCTTTAAAATTTGTTGCATTTAATATAATGAGTAATCACCTTGACAGTTTATATTCTCAGATATTATTGTTTTAAAAAATGTAAATATTTTTGTACAGAAAGCAGTGCATGATGACAATATTTATAGAACACTTACCGACAATCCCAACACTTCTTACCTATTTCTCTGATTACCTGTAGGAACTACCATCATCCTTCACTGTGCAGTTGTTTAAGAAGGATTATAGCACTGCCTATTAACTGTTCTCCTGTTTCCAACCTACTCTCTCTTTTTTTTTTTTTTTTTTTTTTTTTTGAGATGGAATCTTGCTCTGTGGCCCAGGCTGGACTGCAGTGGCGCGATCTCGGCTCACTGCAATCTCCACCTCCCGGGTTCAAGCGATTGGCCTGCCTCAGCCCCCAAGTAGCTGGGATTACAGGAGCATGCCACCACACCTGGCTAATTTTTGTATTGTTAGTAAAGAAGAGGTTTCACCATGTTGGCCAGGCTTGTCTCGAACTCCTGACCTCAGGTGATCTACCCGCCTCGGCCTTCCAAAGTGCTGTGATTACAGGCGTGAGCTACTGCGCCCAGCCTATCCTACTCTCTTAAATCTATTTTCAGCACAGCACAAACAGAAATTCCATTGAAAATGCGCATCAAACTATGTCAACCCTCTGCTAAAAACCCTCCAATGTCTTCTTGTCCTTTTCAGAGTAAAATCACAGTAAAAGATGGTGTAGTAGCCAAAGGGTCTGGCTCCATGTTAACCCTCTGACCCCATCTCGTATATCTTTTTTCCTTAGTCTACTACGGCCACATTGCCCCTTTGGTTTCATTTTCTGCTTTAAGGCATTTGCTCTTGATATTCTCTCTAGAATACTCTTTCCCCAGATAGCCTCATGACTTGTTTTCCCACCTAACTCAAGTCTTTATTTAAATATCAAGTTTTAGAAAAGTCTTTACTGATCTACCTAATTAAAATTGTATGAATATTATCATCATAATCAGTTTCCCACTTTTCACCGTTAATTTTTTCTGTGGCACTTATTACCGTCTGATAAACTAATATGTGTTTATTGTCCGTCTTACCTATCTAGCTTATTGAGGGCAGAGATTAAGTTAACAGCTATATTCACTGTCTCTGGAACAGTACCTAACACATAGTAGGTACTTGATAATGGATGACTGGAAAAATACCATTATTCTCTTCTTTGTTTTTTGAGACAGAGTCCCGCTCTGTCACCCAGGCTGGAGTGCTTTGGTGCGAACTTGGCTCACTGCAACGCAGCCCACACGGCTTAAGTGATCATCATGCCCAGCTATTTTTTATTGTTGTTGTTGTTGTTGTATTTTTAGTAAAGACAGGGGTCTCAACATGTTGCCCAGGCTGGTCTTGAACTCCTGAGCTTGATTCAGCAACTTTGTTTCCCATGTTTCCCTACACTTACACTCAAACTGATGAATTTTCCCTTTGATTGATAAATCCAAACTGGGATACTCAATTCTAATAATCAAGCTTAATAAAGGTTATGCTTCTAAATATTTGCCAGATAAAAGTATTGACTCATGATGTAACACAATGACAATGGACCAGAATTAGGAGATCTTAATACTAATTATACAAGCATTTTATCAACTGTTAGACTCATCATTTTATCTCTGAAATGAAGACCCTGGATTAAATCAAGCATTCTGAGTCCAGAGAATCAGGAATTTTTGCTGGGATGAAGATGTATTTGGAAAATTATAAAACTTCACAATTGTATAATTTCACAATTGAATGTTGTAATTGTGTAATGTATAATATATAATTGTATAATGTTCACCAAGTATGATCAGTGGATCAAATAATATTTAGGCCAGTTATGTGCCTGCAGTTTTCAAACACATGTATATATTACTGTGATTAACAAAAAGTAATTTTTAAAAAATACAAAATTGGTCTCTACTAAAAATACAAAAAATTAGCCGGGCATGGTGGCGGGCGCCTGTAGTCCCAGCTACTTGGAAGGCTGAGGCAGGAGAATGGCCTGAACCCAGGAGGCGAAGCTTGCAGTGAGCCGAGATGGTGCCACTGCACTCCAGTCTGGGCGACAGAGCAAGACACCGTCTCAAAAAAAAATTTACAGAATTGTATCAAAAAAAAATTCAGTGAGATCCTAGAATATGTTGGGCACTATGCTGGGTGCTACAAGCAAGTAATAAAAGCTATGTGTAAATGATAGTAATTTAGTGCTCATCTTTCAATCATAAAATTGATTCCTGAAACATCATAAAGCAAAATAACACTTAGAGAAAGATAAATTTTCTCCTAAATAACACCACTTTGTAAATTAACCATAATCTATAACAGATTATTTTCCAGCTAATCTTACCATTGTCTAACTTTAGATATTTATATATTTCTTCAGTTATTTTTAGAGTTAAAGCTGAATCTCCTTTTTGTACTAAAATTTTATGAGCATAGATTATTTCAGCTATTATGTCCCATGAGTTCAATGTGTTTCTAAGACGATGAGCTTAAGTTTATCTAATCATTGAAATGTAGGTACATCATAGGTTGAATTTTGGATATTTTGTCATTTTCTTTCTTTCTTTCTTTCTTTCTTTCTTTCTTTCTTTCTTTCTTTCTTTCTTTCTTTCTTTCTTTCTTTTTTTTTTTTTTTTTTTGAGACGGAGTCTTGCTCTGTCGCCCAGGCTGGAACGCAGTGGCGCGATCTCGGCTCACTGCAAGCTCTGCCTCCTGGGTTCACGCCATTCTCCTGCCTCAGCCTCCCGAGTGGCTGGGACTACAGGCTACAGGCGCCTGCCACCACCCCGGCTAATTTTTTGTATTTTTAGTAGAGACGGGGTTTCACCGTGTTAGCCAGGATGGTCTCCATCTCCTGACCTCGTGATCCGCCCGCCTGGGCCTCCCAAAGTGCTGGGATTACAGGCGTGAGCCACCGCGCCCGGCCTCGTCATTTTCTTAGTTTATTAACTTCTTAATTATAAATATTTGACTGGTTTTCCAGAATGCAACCAGCACACACTTGACTTTTCAAAGAATGCATATAGAATTATTGTGGCATATAATTCACAAAATTGTATTTGAGTAACATGGATTAAATGAAAACTAGCTATAATTATAAAACATAATGTGTTTATAGCTATATGTTGAAAATATTCTCTCAATATTCATTTGTAGAAACCTACTTTCTAAGGTATTAATGAAGAGCTATGTTTAGGAAATAATACCCATAACGAGGAATTACTTGAAATTGCTGTGTTGATATTTATAATGTTAATTCACTCTCCTTAGTTGTGTAATAGTATTTACACTTTCTTAATAAAGAGTATTTGAAAAGAAATATAGTGTTTATAGAATAAATGTTAAAGGCATTACATACCTACAGAATGAACACTAAATTCTACATAAAATGCAATGCCTCTTGGGTTCTGGTCATTTCCCCCCTGCTCTCATCTCCTTGAACTTTCCAAACACTGAACATTGTAAAGTACTTATTGTTAGAATTACTAACTCCTCTTACACCTCCGTGCCTTCACACCAGACAAACCTGCTGCCCAAGATGCTCTTCGAATTGATTTTTCCCTCTCTGCCTTTTTTCTCCACTATCCCACTGTATAATAGATACAAAATGTACCTAACTTTCCTAGAATGTTTTCTTAAATCAGATAAGCACATATTTTGTTTTATGCCATGCAAATAGGCATAGAGAATGACTTTGAATAAATTCAAATATCAATATAAATGTAAGAATTCATATTATATCAGTCATCTATTTATTAGGCTCTTTTTATGAAGATTAGGCCCATATCTTCAAGAGGCCCTCAGGTTCGTATGGAGTTTCTGAAACCTTAGAGATGGATAGGTTGTGATTACATAATAAGTAGAAAATGTACTTAAGGAGTACAAATTTGTAAGAGTGATGGCAGACAAGCAAAGAAAGGTAGAGAAGGCCAGGTTATGAATTACCTTATATACAATTCGGCATAAATATTTTATTTTCTGGGTAAAGGATAGACACCAATGAAGATTTTTCATGTTGTAGATAGAACCATTCATATTTAACATGGGAAGTAAATTGACATATTTAACATTCTACTACATGTGATGAAATCTCCTGAAAACTAATGGATAATACTTACTATTGTGTTTAGTGAATATTTAGCATATTTTTTAATTCCCAGCATCTATTCCCACTTCTTCAAGTGGAATTCTATTTTTTTTTTATTGAATTGACCTTTTTACCACTCCTCTCATATGGTTCAAGTAGGGCTAACCCCACTCTTTCTCCATGCATAAGTTTATGAGCCAGGCTTGGAAAAAGAGCAATTCATTACACTGTCTTGAGTGACTAGATATTTAATGGCCTAATGGAAATACACTTTAGAATTTTTCCTAGAACCTTTAAGAAAGTGAGTCTTTGTCCAGTGTCTGGATAACCAGGGGCATTCAGCAATTATTTTGACACCTTATGGGAGAGTCTGCTTGAGAAGAAAGTAAAAATAAAGGAAATAAGAGAAATGAGGATGGGGTAGTTGGGCCCATGGCGATGGAATTAAATCTCTGAACAGCTTTGGCCTGTAAGTATATACCACCCAAAGATTCATGATTAATACAGAGTATCTTCACCATGACAATAATGAATTAAAAAATGATTACAAATAAGTCCTATACTAAAACATTTTATCAGATATTTTATCCCTTTAATATTTTTGAAAGTCTTAAATTGTGTTTTAATACAACTTGGTAAGGACTTGTGTAGTCTAAAACATACATCAATCTTAGTTATTTAAAGATTGCAGATATTGCTACGCATTTTAATATGAAATTATATTCTTTGAGTCACCTAACCATCTAATGCTGACATTACAAAGACATAGTTCCAGAAGTTCCGTTGAGAAATTCTTAGACATTGGTGGCTCATCTTCCTTTCAACTTTACTTGTTAATAAGCTTAAGGACTCACGCCTGTAATCCCAGCACTTTGGGAGGCCGAGGCGGGCGGATCACGAGGTCAGGAGATCGAGACCATCCCGGCTAAAACGGTGAAACCCCGTCTCTACTAAAAATACAAAAAATTAGCCGGGCGTAGTGGCGGGCGCCTGTAGTCCCAGCTACTTGGGAGGCTGAGGCAGGAGAATGGCGTGAACCCGGGAGGCGGAGCTTGCAGTGAGCCAAGATCCCGCCACTGCACTCCAGCCTGGGCGACAGAGCGAGACTCCGTCTCAAAAAAAAAAAAAAAAAAAAAAAAAAAAATAAGCTTAAGGATGATTTTCTTGTATTTTTTGAGTTCTCTGTAGAAGTGTGACAATTTTAGGCTCCTTTGGAAGCCTCAGAACCAAGAAATTTTGAAAGCAGCTATTTATATAGGAAAATGCCTCTCTGACATTACATTTAGTTTATTAATATTTAAAAATATTAATTGAACCTCATTGTGTCCCTGTAATTTTTCTAATTGTATAAGTAAAATGATGAGCATAAATAAACATAGACTCTGCTGTTATGCAGATTTTTGGCCAACTGAGAAGCCTAACAGTAAACACCTAATTATAAAAATAAATTAATGATTAAATACTTATGTAACTTCTCTGAAAAATGTTATAACACTAAAAGATATACAACAAAATTACCTATCCTGGAGTTGAGAGATGAGAGATATTTTTCCTTGGGACAGTAGAGGTAGCTTAAACCGAGTATTTAAGGTTGGGCAAATTTTAATAAGGCAAGTAATTAGAGAAGTAAAATGATCCTTTTGAAGAGATACTAGTCAAAGGCTAATATGGCTCCAGTGTAGAGAATGAACCTGGGCAAGTGGTTTAAAAAATGAGACTTAAGAGATAGGCAAGTAATAATTACACACAGCCTCAAAGCCCACATAAAACACATAGCAGTACATTAAATATTGAAATAATGTGAGTCATTAAAGTAACCAAATAAAACTAGAGAAGTTTTAACTGATTATTATAATGTGTTATAATTTAAGAGATACAACTACATGATGTGCATTTGAGGGTGACAACAGCATACCAACTATAACTACTTGGTGAGAAGATGTGAGAGACATAAAGAGAAATTACAATAGAAAATGTGAATATGTATACATATATATGTGTGTGTGTGTGTGTATATATATATATATATATATTCATGTTCAGTAGACCTAGCATTGAAGTAAGGGAAGAAAGATGCCTAGAAAAAAGTTTCCAGAGATCTGCAGAGCAGTCTCCTCGGCATTGATTTGTGCATATATGAATGGAAATTACCCTAGCCTACAGAAGGAAACCTTGGAAAGGAACAGGTAGAATAATACTAGGATCTCAATCAAGGCTGGGGAATGTCCATGTATCCAGTAAGAATGTAAATGCCTTGTAAAGCAAAGATCATTTGGTAAAATCCTAAGATTCTGAAGGTGGAATTACTTTCTTATTCTTTTGCTTATTCACAGCAACTTGACTACAAGCAAGAAAAATAGTAATTCAATGCTTCTTAAGCAATACAAAATTCTGCAATCAAAAATGTACAATTAACAATATGTGGTACCTGAACAAAAATTATGAGGCATAGAACAAAGCAGGAAAATATGACCAATAGCCAAGAGAAAAATCAGTCAGTAAAACTGGGCCCAAAAACAATAGATCAAGATGATAAACTACAAACCAATAATGTTAAAATAGCTATTATAAATATGCCTCTTATGTTCAAGAAGGTAGAGGACATGAGCATGTAAAATAAATGGAAGATATTAAAAGATACAAATGAGAAATCAAGAGATAAAAATTCAATATCTGTAATAGCAATTAGTGCAGAAAACAAGAATAGTATATTTGAAATAGATAAATGAAAATTTACCAAGATAAAGCAAAGGAAAATGAAAGGATTTAAAAACAATAAAGTATCAGTGGCTTTTGGGAAAATATTACATAATTTAAACTGCATGTAATTAGTACCCCAGAAAAATAGATGAGAAGCAGGAAAAAGTAACAATATTTAAAGAAATGATGAACAAGGCCAGGCGCAGTGGCTCACACCTGTAATCCCAGAACTTTGGGGGGCCGAGGCGGGTGGATCACAAGGTCAGGAGTTCGAGACTAGCCTGACCAACATGGTGAAATCCTGTCTCTACTAAAAATACAAAAATTAGCCGGGTGTGGTGGCGCATGCCTGTAATCTCAGCTACTCAGGAGGCTGAGGCAGGAGAATCGCTTGAACCCTGGAGGCAGAGGTTGCAGTGAGCCAAGATCACACCATTGTACTCCAGCCTGGTGACAGAGTGAGACTCTATCTCAAAAAAAAAAAAAAAAGAAAAAGAAATTTTCCAAATTTTTTGAAAACCAAATCCATTAATGCTTGAAACTAAATGATACACAAAAAGAAAAAAAGGTATAAAAAAACCCAAGGCTCATTAAAATCAAATCAAACACTATTATACAAAGACAATTACTCTATAAAGAAAGAAAATCTTAAAAGCAGCAAACACTTATATTAAATACAGAGGAAAGAGTACCCTTAATAATGGTAAATTATACTTTATTTTAAAAAATTGCAAAAACACTATTAAAATAAACGTGAAAGCCATGGGTTGTGAGAAAATATTTGCAAAACATATATTGGATGATAACTTATTCAGAATATGCAAAGTACTATTGCAATTTAGTAATAATAAGGTAAACAATCTGATTTTCCTAAAAATGGGCAGAGCATTTGAATAAACACTTCACCAAAGGAGCTATATGATTGGATATTAAGCATATATAAAATGATGCAAATAAAAACCATAGTGGGCTGGGCATGATGGCTCATGCCTGTAATCCCAGCACTTTGGGAGGCCGAGGCGGGAGGATCATGAGGTCAGGAGATTGAGACCATCCTGGCTAACATGGTGAAACCCTGTCTCTACTAAAAATACAAAAATGTAGCTAGGTATGGTGGGACACACCTGTAGTCCCAGCTACTCAGGAGGCTGAGGCAGGAGAATTGCTTGAATCTGGGAGGCGGAAGTTGCAGTGATCCAAGATCATGCCACTGCACTCCGGCCTGAGTGGCAGAGCAAGACTATGTGTTAAAAAAAAAAAAAAAGTCACAGTGATATGATCACATACTAAATTGAAAGGCTGAAATTGAAAAAAAAAAAAGCAATAACTAACAGCCAGGAAATAAGAGCAATGAAAGCTTTTATACATTTCTAATGAGAATGCAAGATATTACATCAACTTTGAGAAAGAGTTTTACAGTGTTTACGAAGGTTAAACAATCACATATAACATGGTCCAGCATTCCCAATCTAGGTATCTTCAAAGGGAAATAAAAATCTATGCTTACAAAAAAAAGTGTGGGGCTGATGCTTACAGACTTCCTATGTTATCTCTGAAAATGGGAAGCAACATGAATATTCATCAATATAAATATATATTGGTTTATCCATGTAATGGAATACCACTCAGTAATAAAAAGAAATTAAATACTGATACATGCAACAACATGGATGAATCTCTAAAGCATATCCTAAATAAAAGAAACTAGGCACGCAAGAGTACACAAATTTAATTTTATTTATATGAGATTCTGCCAATAAAAGAAAAAAAGAACTAGAGAGACATAAAGCAGATCAGTGATGTGCAGACACTGGTGGTCAAGTAGGGGTTTAATTATGCTCATATGAGTAAGGATTTCAACTTTTTCTAATTCAATGTAATGTTGGCTTTGAGCTTGTTATATATGGCCTTTTTGTGTTTAGGTACATTCTTTCTATACCTTATTTCTTCAGAGAGTTTTTATTATAAAGGGACGTTGAATTTTATCAAGTGCTTTTTCTATCTTTATTGAGATGACAATACAGTTTTTTGGCCTTCATTCGGTTGATGTGATGTATCAAGTTTATTGGTTGGAATATGTTGAACCATCCTTGCATTCCTGTGATACATCTCACTTGATTATGGTGTATAATATTTTTAATATAATGTTGAATGTATAGAGCATTGTGTTGAGAATTTTTGCATGTATGCTAATCAGGGATATTTTCTAGTAATTTTCTTTTTTTGTTGTGCTCTTGTCTGATTTTTGTAACAAAGTAATGGTGACCTCCTGTAATAAGTTAAGAAGGAATCCCTCTCCTTTGATTTTTTTTTGAATAGTTTGAGAAAAACTAGTGCTAACTTTTTAAAAATTTGGTAAAATTTAAAAGTAAGGCCATCCATTCCTGGGCTTGTATATGTTGGGGGACTATTTTACAGCTTAAATCTTGTTACTCATCATTAGTCTATTCAGATTTCCTATTTTTTTTTTTGGTTCAGTCTTGGTAGGTTCTATATTTCTAGGAATTTATCCATCTCCTTAGATTTTCTAATTTGTTGGCATACAGTTGTTCATAACAATCTGTAATGATCATTCATATTTCTGTAGTATCAGAAGAAATGTCTCCTTTTATATTTCTTATTTGATTTATTTGGGTGTTTTTTCATACTTAGCCTAGCTAATGGCTTGTTAATTTTGTTTATTTTTTAATACTTTTTCATTTTATTGAAATTTTGTACTTTTTAAGTCTCTATTTTGTTCATTTCTACTCTGATCTTTATTATTTTTTCTAATTTTGGTTTTGGTTTGTTCTTGATTTTCTAGTTTCTTGAGGTGTGTCATTTGATTGTCTATATAAAATCTTTCTACATTTATGATGTAGGTATTTATTGACATAAATTCACTCAGCACTGCTTTTCATTTATCTTATAGGTTTTTATTCATTTTATGTCTATTTTTATCTGTTTTTATGAATTTTTAAATTTCTTTCTTAACCCATTGGTTGTTTAATTTCCATGTATTTGTATATTTTCTAATCGTGTTAATCTTATAATTCATAGTTTCATTCAGCTGTGATCAAAAAAATATGATTTTAATTTTTTAAAAATACATGAGTCTTGTTTTGTGACTTAGCATTTGTTGATTTTCTGCTTAGATGATCTCTGCAGTCCTGAGAGTGGGCCTTGAAATTATCAACTATTATTGTATTAGGGTCTATCTCTCTCTTGATATCTAATAATATTTGCTTTATAGGACAGTACTCTGGTATTGGATAGATATATATTCATAGTTGTTAGACCTTCTTTCTGTATCAATTTCTTTATTATTATCTAGTGACCTTTTTTTGTCTTTACTTGCAGTTTTTAA
Organism: Homo sapiens; assembly: GCF_000001405.40. Lineage (NCBI taxonomy): Eukaryota > Metazoa > Chordata > Mammalia > Primates > Hominidae > Homo > Homo sapiens. The sequence goes on along the minus strand of NC_000002.12, from coordinate 193,416,650 downwards.
CTTGAAGTCTGTCTCATCTAAGCATAGCTAATCCTGCTCATTTTTGGTTTCTGTTTGTGTAGAATATTTTTTTCTACTGCTTCACCTCCAATCTGTGTGTCTTTACTGTTGAAGTGAATTTCTTGTAGGCAGCATGTAGTTTGGTCTCATTTTTATTAATTCATTTAGCCAGTCTGTTTTAAATAAAGGATATACTCCATTCACATTTAATATTATTATTGATGAATGAAGACTTATTTATTATTTTGTTGTGTTATTTCTGGTTGTTTTATAGATCATTTGTTTCTTTCTTTTATTGTTTATTTTTGCAGTTTGCTGGTTTTACTACTCTCACCTCTCTTTTTCTCATTCGTATGTCTGATCTATCAGTAAGTTTTATACTTTTGAATGTTCTCAGGATAATTTTTATCCTTTTTTTTTCTGATGTAGAGCTCTTTTAAGCATTTCTTTTAAGGCCAGTCTACTGGTGATCAATTCCTTCAGTTTTTTTTGCTTGGGAATAACTTCATTTCTCATCCATTTTTGAAGTATAGTTTTACTAGCAATAGTATCCTTAGCCAGCAGAAATTTTTTCATTCAGCACTTTGAATATACCATCCTATTCCCTCCTGGCCTGTAAGATTTCTGTTGAGAAATCCACTGTTAGTCTAGTGGGGATTTTCTAATATTTATCTTGATACATTTATCTTGCTCTTTTTAGAATCCTCTCTGTCTTATGACACTTTGACTATATTATGCCTAAAAGAAGACTTTTTGTATTGAAACAATTTGGAAATTTTTAAGCTTCCTGAATCTGGATATTCCTATCTCTCTCAAGACTTAGTTTTTCAGCTATCATTGCATTAAATAGTTTTTGTATGCTTTTTCCCATTTCTTCTCCTTCAAGATATTTTATAATGTGAAATTTGTTCACTCAGTGGTGTTTCATAAGTCCTGTAGGCTTTCTTTATCCTTTTGTACTCTTTTCCCTCTCTTTTTTGTTCAGCTGGGTTATTTCAAAAAACTTTTATTCAAGCTTAGAGATTATTTCTTCTGCGTGACATAGTATACTATTAAAGCTCTCATTTGCATGTCTTATTTTATTAATTGATGTCTTCAGTTTCGGGATTTCTATTTGGTTCTTTTTTTTTTTTTTTTTTTTTAGATGGACTCTGACTCTGTCACCCAGGTTGGAGTGCAGTGGTGCAACTTCTGCTTCCTGCAAACTCTGCCTCCCAGTTTCAAGCAATTCTTCTGCTTCAGCCTACCAAGTAGTTGTGACCACAGGCATGTGCCACCACACCTGGCTAATTTTTGTATTTTTAGTAGAGACATGGTTTCACCATATAGGCCAGGCTGGCCTCGAACTCCTGACCTCATGATCCATCCACCTCGGCCTCCCAAAGTTCTGGGATTACAGGTGTGAGACACCGTGCCCGGGCCTGGTTCTTTTTTATGATAAAAATTTCTTTAAAAAATTATTCACATAACGAATTGTTTTCTTGATTATGTTGCATTGCCTGACTGTATTCTTTTTTTACCTCACTGGTTTTAAGATTATTACTTTGAATCCTTTTTTAGGTGATTCATAAATTTCCATTTATTTGGGCTCATTTACTGGAGAATTAGTGTTTTTCTTTAGAGGTATCACGTTTCCTTAATTTTTCCTGTTTCTTGCGTCCCTTCATTGATATATGTACATCTGATAAAACAGTTGCTTCTTCCAATTTTGTACTGGGCTGATATGGTTTGGCGATGTCACCACCCAAATCTCGCCTTGAATTCCCACCTGTTGTGAAAGGAACCTGGTGGGAGGTGATTGAATTATGGGGGCAGGTCTTTCCTGCACTGTTCTCATGTTAGTGAATAATTCTCACAAAATCTGATGGCTTCATAAGGTGAAATTTCCCTGCACAAGCTCTCTCTTTGCCTGCTGCCATTTGTGTAAGATATGACTTGCTCCTCCTTGCCTTCTGCCATGATTGTGAGGCTTCCCTAGCCACATGGTACTGTAAGTCCAATTAAACCTCTTTCCTTTGTAAATTTCCCAATCTTGGGTATGTGTTTGTCAGCAGCATGAAGACAGACTAATACACAGGGCATTTGTGGGAAAAGACTTTCACCTGTAGATGTGTCCTAGGGCATCTGTTGGGTAAAGCGTGTTGGCTTTGTTCTGGGTGAGTACAGTAGTATAGTTTCCATGCAGTTTCTTCAACTATAGTCAATGTTACTTGTGCCTTTCAATGCCTCAGTAGCTCAGGCTGAAGAAGTTTGTAAGACTAGTCCAATTATTCTGCTCTGCTACCCTGGGGGTGGGATGCTAGGCTATCCCTTGCTCTGGGGAGGTATGGGGCTGGTTTGCCTTTGTCTCTGCTCAAATGCTGCTCTATTGGGAGCAGGGCACTGGGGTGGTCAACCTTCAGGAGATGTGAGGGGCTGTTTGGCTTTCAGCTTAGGTGGAGTGCCAGCTGCTATTTTGGGGGGTCTTTAAAATGAAGTCAAAGGTATTTAACATTCTTTGAAAAATGAAATAATATTTCCACGTTTTTTTTCTTTTTTCACAAAATACTTCTTTGGTTCAAGATAGCAATGTGCCTCAACAAGTCTGAAAATGGTCGTCTGGATCTCCACAGTTTCAGGCTCCTTGACTAGGCTCCATGAAGACAAGATATCTTTCATTTTGGCTGACACGTCAGTCACAGTAAACAGACTCAGATCAAGTAGATTTCTAACTACATCCTTTCACTGAGATAAAACACTCAAGTTTACCCTATGTTTACCTGTGCAGTGCACAAACAAAGGCACTTAAAAGAAATAAGCATTGACTTAGCACTACAATGTTTAATATAACACATTAAACCTATATAATGTTTAATAAAGAACAATTCACAATTCTGCATGCATATCTAAGCAAGGGAAATTGGAAAGTAGTTAGAATAAGACAGTTAAATGTGTACTTTTTTTACAATCTCTTTTATTACTGAAAATGCTCTTACATATTTATTTCTCAGATTTGTAAAAAGATCACCAACTGGAAGTTTTAAATAAACTGCAAATTTAAAAAATGAGTTTGCTCAAAATATTTATTACAAATATAAATATCTACCAAATTCTCAAATCTTAAAATATTTATACTATTTGTAACAATGTAGGAAAAATTGTTTTTTGGAATTCCATGAAAAAAATGCTTATATAACGGCAATGTCATTATTATACTTAAGAAAATTAAGACGAATTCCTTGGCATTATTTCATATCTAACCAGTGTATCCTCAATTCCCCCTAAAATATCTATAATTTTATATTACATACTTGGTTCATTCAAATTAAGATATAAATGGATAGATTTAGACTTCCTGTTTACTCATAGGTTTGAACAGATAATATATAAGACCTATTAATAACATCTGTTGATTAGTGTGTTTTATCTACCCCCAATAGGCAGAGTTAATGTGTTTTTGCTCTGATGTATAACTTGTTCTATTCTAGAAAATTTTAGAAGTTTAAAGATTCTATATAGAAGAGCTTCAATAAATGTAATTTATTACATTTTTCATTGCATACATTACAAAGATTTAGTGTGGAGTGAAGAGATTGAGGTTTTCAACATTTTTTTAAATCCTTATATTAATTGTTCACAGAAATTTCCTTCATCTTGTTTATTTCACACATAATATCATGCAGAAGAATGAAATTGGAACCTTATCTCACATCATAGACAAAAGTCAACTCAAAATGGATAAAAGATTTAAACATAAGATTCGAAACTAGAAATCTACTAGAAGAAAACATAGAGGAGAAACTCCACAACATTAGTCTGGGAGAGAATATCTTTGATAAAACTTCAAAAGCACTGACAACCAAAGCAAAAAAAGGAAAAATAAAATTGTATCAAATTAAATATCTTCTACAAAGCAAAAGAAACAGTTAACAGAGTGAAGATGAGAGGTGAAGCCAGCTGGACTTCTGGGTCAGGTGGGGACTTGGAGAACTTTTCTGTCTAGCTAGAGGATTATAAACACACCAATCAGCACTCTGTAAAAATGCACCAATCAGCACTCTGTGTCTAGCTGAAGGTTTGTAAATGCACCAGTCAGCATGCTGTAAAAATGCACCAGTCAGTGCTCTTGTCTAGCTAAAGGTTTGTAAGCGTACCAGTCTGCACTCTGTAAAAACGCACCACTCAGCACTCTGTAAAATGGACCAATCAGCACTCTGTAAAATGGACCGATCAGCAGGATGTGGGTGGGGCCAAATAAGGGAATAAAAGCTGGCCACCCCAGCCAGCAGCGGCAACCCGCTCAGGTCCCTTTCCACACTGTGGAAGCTTTGTTCTTTCTCTCTTCACAGTAAATCTTGCTGCTGCTCACTCTTTGGGTCCGCACTACCTTTATGAGCTGTAACACTCACTGTGAAGGTCTGCAGCTTCACTTCTGAAGTCAGCAAGACCACAAACCCACCAGAAGGAAGAAACAACTCCTGACATGCCACCTTTAAGAGCTGTAACACTCACTGCAAAGGTCTGTGGCTTCACTCCTGAAGTCAGCAAGACCACAAACCCACCAGAAAGAAGAAACTCCGGACACATCTGAACATCTGAAGGAACAAACTCTGGACACACCATCTTTAAGAACTGTAACACTCACCATGAGGGTGTGGGGCTTTATTCTTGAAGTCAGGGAGACCAAGAACCCACCAGAAGGAACCAATTCCAGACACAAAGAGATAGTCACAGATTAGGAGAAAATATTTGCAGACCATCCATCAAATAAGAGACTAATATCCAAAATATATAAGAAATTCAAATATCTCAGCATCAAAAAAATAGATAAACAAATTTTAAAATGGGCAAAAAATCTGAACAGACATTTCTCAAAAGAAGAGTTATAAATGGCCATGAAAATATATTTAAAAATGCCCAGCACCTTTAATTATCAAGGCAATGCAAATTAAGCAACAATGAGTTATCTCCTCACACTTGTTTCAATGGCTATTATCAAAACAATAAATAATAACTGTTGGGAAGAATGTGGAGAAAAGGGAACCCATGTACACTTTTGACAGGAATGTAAATTAGTACAATCATTTTGGAAATTAGTATGGCGTTTCCTCAGAAAACTAAAAATAGAACTACCATATGATCAGGCAATCTCATTCCTGGATATATATTCAAAAGAACTAAAATTGGTATGTTGAAGAAGTATCTTCCCTCCTATGTTTATTTCAGCATTATTCACAATAGCCAAGGTATGAAAGCAACCTAAGTGTCCATCAACAGATGAATGGTTAAAGAAAATGTGCTAAATATACACAATAGAATACTATACAGCCTTAATAAAGAAGAAAATTCGGTCATACACAACAACATGGATGGAACTAGAGGACATTATGCTAAGTGAATAAGCAAGGCATACAAAGACTTGTGCTATATAATGTCACTTATTTGTGGAATCTAAGAAAGTCAATCTCAAAAAAAGTAAAAAGGTGGTTACTCTCTAAGGGGGAGGGGAAAAAGGGAAAAAAGAAGATGTTGATAAGAGTGCATAAAGTTTTAGTTAGACTGGAGGAATAAGTTTTAGTGCTGTATTGCAATTCATGGTGACCACAGTTAATAAAAATGTGTTGCATACCTCAAAATTGCCAGAATAGATTTTTAACATCCTCATCACTATATATATATATATATATACTATATATATATGTACATATATATACACATATATGTATGTTTATATGTAAAAGCTTGTAAGGAGATTAATATGTTCATTATCTTGAATGAATCTTTCTAGAATGCATACATAGATCTAAACATCACATTGTACCCCATAAATATACATAATGATTATTTGTCAATTAAAAATGCATTAATAAATAAAAACAAAACCAACTTTATTGTTTGAGCATCTCTTCTACTTGAAACTTATATCACCATCCAGGTTTCAGATTAGAGACTTGCCATGGGAATCAGGATATGCAATTTAGCTGCACTACCTTGAAGGAATAAATTAACCTCTCTGGCTTTAGGTTTCTCACCTAGATATTCCGTGAATGTTCCGAGGCTGAACCCAAACCTAGGCACATTAATTTCTAGATATTGTGGCCAGGAATTTGTATTTTCACAAATGCTATCTGGTTATTCTTTTGCTGCTTGCCAGGTGACTACAATTAACTACAAATATAATAACATGTTAACACAATCTTCAGGATAGTTACTGGGTGGCTTTAGACTGATCCAGTTCTCTTCCCTTTATGCCTCTATTCTCAAAAACAATTATAGAATATACTGTGAATACAAAATCCTAAGAGGTGTTGGCTGGAATGGTCCAGGCTTTGTTCCAGTCCCTCCTAAAACAGGATGTTTTATAAAACCTTATTCCAGTGATTCTTGTGACTTGCAGGATACAAAAAACCTATGGTGGACTGCTTTCTGGGCTCCTTCAGCTGTGGTGTGCAAATGGGGCACAAAAGGATGATAATCCATCTGCCCTGAGCAGCTTTCCCAAGACTTGAGTAATCAGCTTATCATGAATCCTAGGCTTTCATTGTTCCTTGCTGCTTAGTGAGTAATAAAATTGCTTCAGTTAACCTTTTGTTTTAGTGTTCTGTCTCAGTGGACTCACGCAAGTAGTAGAAATTGCAGACCAAGATGTAGCAGGCTGAAGTGGTAACCAGTGCACAGTGAATCTGCTTTACACAATCCATTATAAAAGCTCTATAATATATGCAAAATTCATATAAATATATGAAAGCTAATGTGTTTTAGTGTTTAAGTCTGCTTTAACAAAAACTCAATGTATTCTTTATTGGGTTAGGAATTACATATACTATATAAAAATAACAACCTTAACTAATTTCTAGAATAATATATAGTCACTTTATATATATATATATATACACACACACATAAACACTATATATATACACACAATATATATATAACATATACACTAAATAATATATATACTATATGTATACTATAGTATATAACATATATACTATTATATGTATACCATCATATATTACATATATGATTATATATAATGTATATGTGAACTATCATATATTAATAATGATATTATATCCTCCTTATATTTTTGAGAAATATATTTTGAAAATAATTTTCCTTTTTTTAAAATTTTACTTTACGTTCTGGGATACATGTGCAGAATGTTCAGGTTAGTTACATAGGTGTACATGTGCCATGGTGGTTTGCTGCACCTATTGACCTGTCCTCTAAATTCCCTCCCCTCACCTCCCACCTCCAAACAGGCCCTGGTGTGTGTTGTTCCCCTCCCTGTGTCGATGTGTTCTCATTGTTCAACTCCCACTTATGAGTGAGAATATGCGGCGTTTGGTTTTCTGTTCCTGTGTTAGTTTGCTGAGGATGATGGCTTCCAGCTTCATCCATGTTCCTGCAAAGAACATGATCTCATTCCTTTTTATGGCTGTGTAGTGTTCCATGGTATATATATGCCACATTTTCTTTATCCAATCTATCACTGATGAGCATTTGGGTTGGTTCCATGACTTTGTGATTGCAAATGGTGCTACAATAAATATACGTGTGAATGTGTCTTTATAGTAGAATGATTTATATTCCTTTGGGTATATACCCAGTAATGGGATTGCTGGGTCAAATGGTATTTCTGGTTCTAGATCCTTGAGGAATGGCCATACTCTTTTCCACAATAGTTGAATCAATTTACATTTCCAACAGTGAAAAAGGGTTCCTATTTCTCCACAGCCTCACCAGCATCTATTGCTTCTGGACTGCTTAATAATTGCCAATTCTGACTCGCATGCAATGGTATCTCATTGTGGTTTTGATTTGCATTTCTCTAATGATCAATGATGTTGAGCTTCTTTTCATATATTTGTTGGCCATGTAAATTTCTTCTTTTGAGAAGTGTCTGTTCATGTCCTTTGACCACTTTTTGATGGAGTTGTTTTTTTTTCTTGTAAATTTGTTTAAGTTCATTGTAAATTGTGGATATTAGGCTTTTGTCAGATGGGTAGATTGCAAAAATTTTCTCCCATTCTGTAGGTTGCCTGTTCACTCTGATGGTAGTTTCTTTTGCTGTGCAGAAGCTCTTTAGTTTAATTAGATCCCATTTGTCAATTTTGGCTTTTGTTGCAATTGCTTTTGGCATTTTCGTCATGAAGTCTTTGCACATGACTATGTCCTGAATGGTATTGCCTAGGTTTTCTTCTAGGATTTTTATGCTTTGGGGTTTTACCTTTAAGTATTTAATCCATCTTGAGTTAATTTTTGTATAAGGTCTAAGGAAGGGGTCCAGTTACAATTTTCTATATATGGTTAGTCAGTTTTTCTAGGACCATTTTCCCCATTGCTTGTTTTTGTCAGGTTTGTCAAAGATCAGGCAATTGTAGTAGTGTGGCATTATTTCTGAGGTCTCATTCTGTTCCATTGGGCTATATGTCTGTTTTGGGACCAGTACCATGCTGTTTTGGTCACTGTAGCCTTATAGTATAGTTTGAAGTCAGGTAGCGTGATGCCTCCAGCTTTGTTTTTTTTGCTTAGGATTGTCTTGGCTATACGGGTTCTTCTTTGATTCCATATAAAATTTTAAATAGTTTTTTTTCTAATTCTGTGAAGAATTTCAATGGTAGTTTGATGGGAATAGCATTGAATCTATAAATTACTTTGGGCAGTATGGCCATTTTCACGATATTGATTCTTCGTATCCATGAGGATGGAATGTTTTTTCCTTTGTTTGTGTCCTCTTTTATTTCCTTGAGCAGTGGTTTGTAGTTCTCCTAGAAAATGTCCTTCATATTCCTTATTAGCTGTATTCCTAGGTATTTTATTCTCTTTGTAGCAATTGTGAATGGGAGTTTATTCATGATTTGGTTCTCTGCTTGCCTGTTGTTGGTGTAAAGGGATGCTTGTGAATTTTGCACATTGATTTTGTATCCTGAGGCTTTGCTGAAGTTGCTTATCAGCTAAAAGAGTTTTGGGGCTGAGATGATGGGGTTTTCTATATATAAAATCATGTCATCTGCAAATAGAGACAATCCGACTTCTCCTCTTATTCAAATAGGTTTTGTTTCTTTATCTTGCCTGATTGCCCTGGCCAGAACTTCCAATATGATGTTGAATAGGAATGATGAGAGAGGGGATTCTTGTCTTGTACCAGTTTTCAAAGGGAATGTTTCCAGCTTTTGCCCATTCAATAAGATATTGGCTGTGAGTTTGTCATAAATAGCTCTTATTATTTTGAGATATGTTCCATCAATACCTAATTTATTGAGAGTTTTTAACATAAAGGGGTGTTGAATTTTCTGCATCTATTGAGATAATCATGTGGTTTTTGTCTTTGATTCTGTTTATGCTATGAATTACACTTACCGACTTGTGTATGTTGAACCAGTCTTGCATCCCAGGGATGAAGCTGACTTGACTGTGGTGGATAAGTTTTTTGATGTGCTGCTGCATTTGATTTGCCAGTACTTTGTTGAGGATTTTTGCACCAATCTTCGTCAGGGATATTGGCCTGAAGTTTTGTTGTTTTTACTGTTGTGTTTCTGCCAAGTTTCAGTGTTAGGATGATGCTGGCTTCATAAAATGAGTTAGGGAGGAGTCCCTTCTTTTCAATTCTTTGCAATAGCTTCAGAAGGAGTAGTACCAGCTCCCTTTTGTACCTCTGGTAGAATTTGACTGTAAATCCATCTGGTCCTAGGCTTTTATTGGTGGATAGGCTATTAATTACGCCTCAATTTCAGAATTTGTTATTGGTCTATTCAGGGATTCAACTTCTTTCTGGTTTAGTTTTGGGAGGGTTATGTGTCCAGGAATTTATCCATTTCTTCTGTTTTTTTCTTCTATTTCCATATTAAATCACCACTGCCACAAAATAAGAAAAAATAAATAGCTGTTTCAAATTATTCTTTCTTTCAACAAAGTCCAAATTACTGATTTAGACTGAAACTTCTGTAAAGCTTCATTATCTTGGTGTCTTAAACCAATCAGACATTTATTTCAGTATATAAATACCTAACAATACTATGAGGGGAGGAAGTTATTTGCTTAATCTAAATCATAAAATACATCTAGAGATTTGCTTTCCTACTCTTATTACCATCCTGGCCTACCATCTCAGAGCGTTGTTGCCTATGTTGCTGTTGTTCATCACATTTCTCCACTGCAACCTCAGGGTTTTAGGATATTTATTCCTTTTCCTTTTTTCAACTCCTATAGAATTTTGTTTGACACATTTGCCTTTGACTTTCTTTGTGCATTTTGTATTTTCCCAACTTATTATCCTTTTACTATTAATTCATCATCAATTCTCTCTGGTCTAGGACTAAGATTTCACTTTTACTTCAAAGTCCAGTGACAGAATATTTGTAGTGTCCTCCAGAGTACTGGAGATCAGCTAATACATTCATATTTAAATAAAGATCTTTGAATTTACACTCATTCTCTAGAGTCTGTAAAAATTATTGATGGTCTATATATCTCCAAATCATCTCAGTTTAGAATTTCTTGCTTCTATGAATTTTTTAGCCTTAGCTCTCTTATATCATGCCTCTCTTCCCACTCTATCCTTAAATACCATTTCACAATGTTGAGCACCTTCCTGAGAAGTGTATGTGCTAATTATGTTGAGAGTATAGAGGGGTATTTCCATGTAAGACAACATAACAACTAGTATAGCCCTGAATATTAGACATCACCACTTCTAGCATTTGACTATCCTTGCCACAGGAAATCCTCTCATATCATCTTCAGTGGAGGTTCCCCTGCCACACCAACTCTCACCCAAATCCTGTTACATTTTTAGGCAAAGCATTTCAGTTCAAGATAGTCACTCAGCCTTACATTAACTAAAATCAAAGTTACATATTGGATAAATTATGGTGGCAGTTTCTAAATTAAAGATATCTTTCTGTTTTTGATAAGTATTGTTCTTATTCTCTTCCTGTCTTTATAATCAATTCTGCATTTCTCTTAACTACCTTCTGTTATTCTTCCTTTCCTTAGCTAGGAAGTCATTTCTGTCAAAGATGTCCTAATTTTCTCATTCCTAGAGAGTCTTCTTTCCCTCCAAATTATCTGTATCAATTCTTGTTAATTTGTTCTTCAATACCTCATACCTAGACTAGGGCAATTGCTTTTTAAATCAATCTCTGCACTACCAATGTCACCTTGCTGCAATTCATGCAAATGTTGACAGAAGAAAGTGAAGAATGGCAATCTAGATAGAGGTAGTACCTAAGTTTACAGCAGTAATTTTTAAAAATTAAACTTAAACCATTTATATTCTTAGCACTTTATCCCAATATTTAATAATTCTGTACTAGCCTTAGGATAAAAGTGAATGCTGCTTGTCTAGTATTCAAGGCCTTTTGAAATTTGATATTATGTGCACCTTATGCTAGTCCAGGCTGTTTACTCACTGCTGAATACACCACGGACATCTCTGTCTTTTGCCTGTGTTCTTGCTACTGCACTTGCCTGTTTTATCCTTTCTTTTCTTTTTCTACCTATGTATAACCTATTTTTTAAGACTCAATGTAATTTTATCTCTATGTTTGTTTTGTCCTCTGATGGTGCTTGGAAAACTGAAATTCATAAATTCTGCCTCACTGGAAGAAGAAAGTAGAGATTCAAGCAAGTCAACAACTGTAGATTCAGATATTAATAACTGATGGCTTTGGCCCACCACCACAACGGGGCTCCATCACCAAATTAGGAATAAGGATTGCACAGGGGACTTCTTACTATTTAGAAAAATTAAGCCCCAAAAAACTATTTAAATATTTTACTAGATAAGGAGTTACTCTGTTTTTGTTTCTGGTGTTTGCAAGATGTTTTTCAAATGTTTGTTCTTATTTATGTTCATCAAAATGATTGCTAACATATTTTTAATAGTAGAAAAGGGCAAAATTGATTCTTTTACCAAAAATAAATATTATGCTAAAGGTATACTTAATGTAACTAAATGCAATGCAGTGATAGTAAGATATTTTAAATTATAATTATTTGAAAATATTTTTAAATTATTGCTTTATATTTTTCAAATCACATGGAATTTAATGAATATATTATAACAATACAGAAGGTGTTATGTCTCCATTTTGTAATTAAAAACATGAAAAACTATACTTCATCTTCTGACATTTTCTTCTGAGTGACATAAAATATGTTGTTGTCTCCGGTTATATAATTTTATTAGACAAAAAGCTGCAAATTCTAAAAATTAAATTCATCTCTACATAAAAATAAAATAAATAAATTCCAGAAAGGGACATGCATCTCTGCTACAGACCTGAAGTAACTTATCATAGTAAAAATCATCTTTTTATGAAACAAATCTAGTATAAAAATAAATTATGGGTACATATGCAGTAATATCAATTATGCTTTCATCTGTTCAGGGTTCATAACTTACAGTGGACTTCATTCTGAGTCTTGATTATTTTTCTTTATACTTGCCTCCAAAACTTTCATATCTCAGGTGTTCTTTAAAAACATATGTTTAACACCTCTTGGTGGATTTATTTCCTTTGTAAATAACTTTCATGGGCCCATTAATTCTATCACTTCCATCTAGATTTTATTTTCTCTCATCATAAAAATGGACATTGATTTTAGCAATATTCTATCTTTATTGATAGTGATGGCTCCTCAATTTTGGCATATTTACCCAGGTTAGAATTTTTGAGATGTGAGTTAGGTGCGCTTTGAAATTATAACCTGCGTTAGCAGAAGGGTTGTCAGGAAAGTAGAGTTGAAATTTATTTTATGAATAAGACAATGGAAATATCTACAAATCATTGTTATATTGCAATTAAATATTCTGACAACACATTACTTACTTAGGTATACTATTATAATAACGTATATCTCTTTTTAAAAGTAACACACATTTTGTTCTTGCTAAAGAATGCCTGTTGTAGACCTTCCTTATGTACTCTCATTCTATATCATTGATCCTTTTTTCTTCTTTCTGTTAATGGTTTATTCATTTATTATTTCTTCTAAAAATAAAGACACATGTTCAGAACTTGCAGTTTTCTTACATAGGTATACATTTGCCATGGTGGTTTGCTACACCTGTTGACCTGTCCTCTAAGTTCACTCTCCTAGCCCCCGATCCCCCAACAGGCCCTGGTGTGTATGATTCCCCTCTCTGTGCCCCTGTGTTCTCAATGTTCAGCTCCCACTTATGAGTGAGAATGTGCAGTGTTTGCTTTTCTGTTCCTGTGTTAGCTTGCTGAGGATGATGGCTTCCAGCTTCATCCATGTCCCTGCAAAGGATATAATCTCATTCCTTTTTATGGCTGCATAGTGTTCCATGCTGTATATGTACCACATTTTCTTGATCCAGTCTATCACTGATGGGCATTTGGGTTGGTTCCATGACTTTGCTATTGCAAAAAGTGCTGCAATCAACATACGTGTCCATGTGTCTTTACAGTAGAATGATTTATATTCCCTTGGGCATATACTCAGTAATGGGATTGCTGGGTCAATTGGTATTTATGGTTCTAGGTCCTTGAGGAATTGTCATACTGTCTTCCACAATAATTGCACTAATTTACATTTCCCCCAACAGTATAAAAGTGTTTCTATTTCTCCAGAGCCTTATCAGTATCTATTGTTTCCTGACTTTTTAACAATCACCATTCTGACTGGCATGAGATGGTATCTCATTGTGGTTTTGCTTTGCATTTCTCTGATGATCAGTGATGCTGAACATATCTCAAAACAATAAGAGCTATTTATGACAAACCCACAGCCAATATCTTATTGAATGGGCAAAAGCTGGAAGCATTCCTTTTTAAAACTGGTACAAGACAAGGATGCCCACTGTCACCATTCCTATTCAACATCATATTGGAAGTTCTGGCCAGGGCAAAACAGACAAGGGAAAGAAATAAAAGGTATTCAAATAGGTAGAGAGGAAGTCAAATTGTCTCTGTTTGCAGATGACATACTTTTATATTTAGAAAACCACATCATCTCAGCCCAAAAACTCTTGAACTGATAAGCAACTTCAGCAAAGTCTCAGGATACAAAATCAATGTGCAAAATTCACAAGCATCCCTTTACACCAACAACAGGTAAGCAGAGAGTCAAATCATGAATAAACTCCCATTCTCAATAGCTACAAAGAGAAAAAATACCTAGGAATACAGCTAACAAGGGATATGAAGGACCTCTTCAAGGAGAACTACAAACCACTGCTCAAGGAAATAAGAGAGGACACAAACAAAGGAAAAAACATTCCATCCTCATGGATAGGAAGAATCAATATCGTGAAAATGGCTATACTGCCGGAAGTAATTTATATATTCAATGCTATTTCCATCAAACTACCACTGATATTCTTCACAGAATTAGAAAAAAAAACTATTTTAAATTTCATATGGAATCAAAGAAGAACCTGTATAGCCAAGACAATCCTAAGCAAAAAGAACAAAGCTGAAGGCATCACATTATCTGACTTCAAACTATACCACAAAGTTACAGTGACCAAAACAGCATGGTGCTGGTCCCAAAACAGACATATAGACCAATGGAACAGAGCAGAGATCTCAGAAATGACACCACACATCTACAACCATCTGATCTTCGACAAACCTGCTCAGTAAATGGTGCTGGGAAAACTGGGTAGCCATATGCAGAAAACTATAACTGGACCCCTTCCTTACACTTTATGAAAAAAAAAACACAAGATACATTAAAGACTTAAATGTAAAACCCAAAACCATAGGAACCCTAGAAAAAAACATAGGCTATACCATTCAGATCATAGGCATGGGCAAAGACTTCATGACGAAAACGCCAAAAGCAATGACAAAACGCCAATTTGTAACAAAAGCCAAAATTGACAAATGGGATCTAATTAAACTAAAGAGCTTCTGCAGAACAAAAGAAACTATCATCAGAGTAAACAGGCAACCTTCAGAATGGGAGAAACTTTTTGCAATGTATTCACCTGACAAAGATCTAATGTCCAGAATTCACAAGGAGTTTAAACAAATTTACAAGAAAAAACAAGCAACTCCATCAAAAGGTAGGCAAAGGATGTGAACAGACACTTCTCAAAAGAAGGCATTTACATGGCCAACAAACATATCCTTGTCTTTTTCTTTTCCTTTTCTGTATTCTTCTCTTAAAGTTCAGCAAGTGTTTTTATCATTCATTATAATTATTGTTGTTTAAAATTTCTTTATTGTATATGACTTACAGAAGAATTAATCCAGGGTACTATTTTTGTTACAAAATCAAGACTACCTTTGTGTATTTTATGACATTGCAATGTAGTATCTTCTGGTTATTGAAATGACATTCTATGAAAAATAATTTTAGAAAGGGAGGATATAATCTTTTGCTCACTGGTTAGCACCTTATTCAGTCTTTGCCGTGTATCCAGAGAAAAGCCATTACCAAAAAAAACCTTACACAGAGTATTCTGAATGTTAACGAGCTTTCTTTTTGGGACTTATATTGAGAGTCATTTATCTTACCATGAAACAAAATCAAAAGCTGTACAAAGATGTGCATAGTAATTAAAATAATCATTGGAACTAAAAATATGCTAAAATACGGCACTATCTTTCTTTATGGGAACATATTGTTTTCATCTAAATGATCATCTGTAATGAAGGAATGTCTTCGTCTCCTCTTATTCATGTTTTAGGTTAATGAAGGTATGGTCAATTAAAGAGTCTACTCTTTTTTTAGAATCAGCGCCAATTGACCTTACTCAACTTCTTACTCTGCTAGGTGTGCCATAACGAAAGTCTCACAGACTGAGTAACTCAAACAAAGGAAATTTATTTTTTCACAGTTCTGGAGAATGGAAGTCCTAGGTCAAGGGCGATTATGATTAGGTTTTTGGTGAGGGCTCTCTTCCTGACTGATGACTTCTCGCTGTGTGCTCACATTGCCTCTCCTAGGTGAATGTTCAAGGACAGAGTGAGGGATCTATCCTTTTCTTATCAAGCCACCATTTCCATCAGATTAGACCCCACCCTTATGACCTCATTTAATCTTAATCACCTCCTAAAAGTCTTACCTTTAAATAGAATCACATTGAAGGTTAGGGCATTAAGATATGAACTTTAAGGAACACAATTCACTTTGTAACACTTCATTTTACTTCCAAAACCTGATCCCTTTTTAACTTAGCCCTTGATGCTCATGTTTCAAGATTGCCCTTACTGCATAATAAGGGCTATTAGTATCCCATCTTGTAATTTAGAGGAAAGACACATTGTCTTTTGCCCATATGAATTCCATAACCAATTCTAAATACACATATTTCCTATAGTTCTTATTCTATTTCTAATAATTCTAATGTTTTTCACCATCTGGAAGCATCTGGCTTGAAAAACAGTAGAACCCTGACTAATACACCTGGTCTCAATTTATGAGTTAGTTAAATTTATCTTGGGTAGAGATAACAGAAAATTTTTCTGGCTACTTCAATTAATGAAGCAAATTATTGGTAGGGTTCTGGGACATTAGACATATTATAAGGAATAGCTGAATTGCTGAACTATTATAGCTAAGAATATGGGAAAACCAGATTCCTACAAGATAATTCAGTAGTTATGGACTTTTTGGACTTTTTCTCCAGAACCTGTAAAATGAAGTTCAGCTCTAGTGACATTTCAATGCTTATCAGTGGTTAGTAATAGGTGTTTTTATTTGTTTGTTTGTTTGTTTTACTTTGACTCAGAATCTGATTGGCCCATTTAGATTAGATACCTACCTCGGAGTTAATTACAGATAGCCAATTAGGAAGATTACAATGTACATGACAACTGGGACCTGCTTTTCTGTGTGGGGGGGCTAATCTAATAAAGCAAGCAGTTATGAGCTGGAAAGCTAATCCAAGATTAATCTACATTGATTGCAAAACATTAACAAACATATAAGAAAGAAATATGACAAATAAATTGAATAATAAAAATGGTAAAAATAAAAACTGTACATATACAATCACAGAAGTTTTACTAACTATGAAGGAAAAAACTCAAAGTGAAAACATCCAAAGTATTACATTCCTTTGTAATTCACAGTTGAATATCAATCATTATCACCTTACAGTATTATCAACATTAAACAAGGAATATATCAAGATTATACAATTAGGCACAACTTTCTTTGTTGGCTGAAACAGGGCAAATAGACTCAATTTATTCACCCTGCCCAATCTTCTCCTGACAAATCCCACTGGGTTTTATCCCAAATAAAAAGATAATTTCCTAGTGCTTTGCTCTGCCCAAAAGATTTTAAATAAGTACAGCCTTTGGAAATATCCACATCAGTGTGCAACAAAATATTCTTCAAACATTCAATTACCTTAACCAGCTAAGGGAATTTATTGGATTATCTCACTCATTGCAATGGTGAAAATAGCATGTAGTACAGAATGTAGATCTCATAGTATCCACAATGAGTAGCCACACAAAATAAGACCATACTATCCTAAGATGATGTAGTTATATTGTTAAATTCTACATTTTCTTTAAAGCATTTTTCGTCCATTTTGTACCATGTCAGAACAACTTCATAACTTTAATTACACGTGATTAATTCTGGAAAAGTGCTGTAGCTACGTATATTATTAGACTTGTATATTTTCCCTTCAGCCTGTAATTTATGTGAATATTATTAAAACATATATGTCTTTTAAATGCATAGCACAAAGCAGTATTTTCTAATGCAGCAGCCACTAGTCAAATATAGCTATTTAACATTTAAACTTTGTTTTTTATGTTTAATTTTTAAATCATTTTTTAAATGTTTGTGGGTACATGGTAGGTGTGTATATTTATGGGATACATGAGTTGTTTTGATACAGTCACTCAATGTGAAATAAGCACATCATAGAGAATGGGATATTCATTCCCTCAAGCATTTATCCTTTGAGTTACAAATAATTCAGTTACATTTTAAGTCATTTAAAAATATACAACTAAGTTATTATTGACTATAGTGACTGTGTTGTACTATCAAATAATAGGGTTACCAGCGGGGAGGTGCAGATGGTTAATAGGAGTATTTAAAATTTGACTAGTTCAAATGCCATTTGCTGTAAATGTAAAATAGACACTGTATTTTGAATTTTGTAGACTTAATGTAAGAATATATGAATTATTTCAATAATCTTGGATTGCATGTTGAAATAATGTTAAATACATATTATTTAAATGTTATATATTAAAAATAATTCTACCTCCTTTATTGGCTTTTAAGAAATATTATATTTAGAAAATTCAAAATTACATATGTGGTTTCAGTATTTTTCTACTGGATGATAATGGCCTAAAGTTAAAATATATACTATGTAAAAGTTTAAAGCAAATATCTTTCTAACGAGTAGGACATAAACCTAAATTACTATTGATAAAACACTAATTATGTCATAGGTTTTTATTTTTTTCTGGTCAAAATGAAACTGGCACTATCTTTCTTAAAACTGCAGTCTAATACTGTCTAAGGTGCGTACACATAGGGTTTGCTGATAAAATCTTTTGGTAAAAATTAAAGAAAATATTATCAATACCAGTAAGAGTATGCTTTTATTCTCCACTAAGAAAAATATTTTCAATACCAGATAATTGCTTTTATAACAAATAGCAAATATGTTTAATATGTTGTTCTTTGAAGTCAATTTGCTACTAAAAATATTTATTTTTATAGTAGAGCCAACTAAATGGTCCTTTTTTCATTGACAAGCTCTCACTCACATTTGCACTTGCCTCTCCTTGACCTCTCCTTTATTACAGAACAACTGTAGTGTAAAATACTATATATAAAACAATGGGTTATTTTAATTCCCCTTATTATCAAGAGGACAATGAACAGATTAAATGAATGACTCCTTTTTCAACTTTCAATTTACTCAGTGTGAGGAAGTTATAGTGTTATGGACTGAATTGTGTTCTCCCAAATTTCGTATGTTGAAGCCTTAACCATTGATGTTGTGGTATTTGGAACTAGGTCTTCTGGGAAGAAGTTAGGGTAAGATGGGATCATAAGGGTGGATCCCTCATAATGAGATGACTGTCCTTGTGAAAAGAGACACCAGAAGGCTTACTTTGTCTTTGCCATGTGAGGATATAGCACAGAAGTGGTTGTCTGCAAGTTAGGAAGTGGGCCCTCACTGGAACCTAAAAAGGCTAGCATCCTGATCTCAGACTTCTGGCCTCCAGAACTGTGAGAAAATAAATGTCTATTGTTTAAGCCACCGAATATGTGATTTTTTTTTATTGCATGCTGAACAGATGGAGACATATGGTAATTGAATTCATAATAAATAGCATTTATGGTGAATTCATTCATGTTAAATACTGAGAAAACTCTTGAGAATTAACTGGATTTTAGGGTAAAAGTTTTGTTATTTTTTAAAAATTACATGTAATTGCTCAATGAGTTGGGATTATACATATTTTACTGAAAAATTCTTGAAAAATTTTTACTCTTTCAAGAAAGTATGTGAGAAGAAATTAGGATTTCCCGTAACATTTGATGGTTTTGGTTAATTGTATACGGTTTGAGTAATCAAAAGCAGAAGTTTCATAACATAATTTTCTTACATATTACTGTTTACTGTTCATGAAATTTTTGCTTCCAAGAAAGTCCTCGACAATTTACAGATTGGCCTGAAATTTATTTTTATATTTATCCATTTCCAGGATTTGAATTATGTTTAATTACCATCATCTTCCTACCTGATTAACTAAATTTTCTTTTTAAAATAAAATAAAAAGTGGAACTGTTCAAGATAGAAATATTGTAGACTCAATAATCTGGTTAATCATATGAAAGTACTTAATTTTTTACCAAAAGATACATTTTTAATTTGTTTAAATTCCCCCATTTTCCTCTGCATAGACTCAGACGTGGTATACAATTGCTAATTAATTCATAACAAATTGAATTTTGAAATGTTTTAAATATACTATATAATAAATTGCCTGTCTTTGATGAACAAATTGCTACTCATTTCTTAGGGAAAATTATTGTTTTATGTTTATTTATCCAGTCTTGTCCAAATAAAGGCATAATTAATTTGAAGAAAGCTTGGAATTTTAAGTTGCCTTGCTATTGAAAGTTTTTTCTTATTCCTTAATATTTACTTTCTCTTTATGATAGTGACAGAAACATTTAATTTATAAAAGAAATTCTTAGCAATGCTTTCCAAATGGATTCTGCAAACTGTGATTCAATAGAGATGACACCTATAATTACATTTGAATATTCTCTTGCATATGTTCTGACAAGATTGCATTAAATCACACTCATTGCCCCTAGGTACTCTTTAGTGTTTTTGTTTCTAGCCTAGATTCCTACCTAGAAAACCAATGAATTCTTCATTCTACATGAAACCGTATTAATAGATAATTCTCTATTATCTTTCCTGTTTCTGTGTTCACTAGTCTTTAAGGGTTGAGTGAACCCCCTTGTCATTGTAATTATTACATCTCACAAATATGTATAAGATTGAATAGAGATAAAATAGCCTTCCATAGTCTGATGTCAAAGATATTTTTTCTCTACTTTCATTCTGAAATCGAACTAAGATATTAATTCTATTTCTTTTTGGCAAGGAAGCCTTTGTCTCTAACATCTTACTGAAGCAAAAACCCAACTTTTCAGTGGATTTTTAAAAATTGTAGCTCCCTGATGAAATATAAAAGTAAAAATGAAATTTTTTTGCACTAATGAAATTATAGTATTTCTGTCAATCTAGGATCCAAGTCCATAAATATTAAGTTCATTCTAAAGTAATTTGTCAATGAGGCCTAGAAAGTAAATCATAATAAACAAAATTAAAAGAAGAAAATACTGGTTTTCCAGATCCAAAATTCTATTGCTAATTCTAAATGCAGCCTCTCTACATTAGCTAACTGAAATAAGTGCCTGCAAATAGACTTTCTGTAGGACACATCAGTTTCATTAGTAGTGATTAGTTCATATAAGTGTACATTATTTCCTAAATATCATGTGAAATTAGAATGTAAGATTGAATTCAGAAATATGTTATATTATTTTAATGCTTGCAATAACAGATGATCAATTTGAAAGATGGTCTTTTCTTCAACAAAGAACTGAGTAATAATATTTTGCCTGTAATTTGGTAGCTTTTCTTTCCCCAATGATAAACGTCTTTTCACTTGAAAAACCTATTGCCTCTTTCTCACTATTTTTCCACACAGAAAACCATACATTAGGTCACATGGCAACTTATAGTCAGTCACCACTTAAGTTAATTACAAGAAAATATTTTACTATTTAGCCCTGAAATTTTATAATGTTAAAAAAATTGAAAAAAAAGTTAAAATGGAATCCAATGCAAATTCTTCTTTGTTTTTCTTCTTTCTGAGTTTTCCTTGAAAACATTTCAAAGAATTGCAAATCTTTTTGTTCATGTATCCTCTGTGTCATGAAAATATAGTTTTCATAACATATTTATAACCAAGAACTTTTATTGGTTATAAATAGAAGACAAATATATTCAATTAATGTATCAATAATTTGTACCTATTAAGATGTATTACCTTATATAACATTACTATTTTCAAAATTAGGATATGCATGTTCTCATTATGATTTGTGAGTCTCATTAATGCCCAAGGATGAAAATTAAGAAAAACATTTAAAAAATCCATATAGTGTATTCCAATGAGAAAAAGTGTTTGTTTTCTAAAAAAATAAGTTCTTATTTAGTGTGTCATAGCAAACATAAATTTAATTTTAATAAACTAAGTAAAGGAATTAAAAATAAGCCTGATATGGTTTGTAATATTATTAACTAAGCAGTATTACTATTATTTGAATATATAATTTAATATAAACTATTTGGTTTATATTAATATAAAATACAAATATATAATATAAAATATATAAATTTTATATTATTTATAATATAAAATTTATATATAAATTTTATATTATAAATAATATAAATATATATAAATATATAATATAAAATATTTGGTAACATTTATTTATATATTTGTATAGATATATAACTTTATACTATAAAGCATTACAATATCTAATAAGAAATATTTAATATTTTCCACAAAGTAAATCAAGTAAATGCTAAATGCATCTACAATAGTGAAGGTATAGCAATCTTCTTCAGTTTATTTTCTTATTGTAATACTGTGGCTCCTCCGTACACTTTTGTTTTCTAGTTAATCTTCAGTTTAGGTACCAGGCCAACAGGAATAAGGAAAAACATTATTGGTGGTGCTATAAGGAAACAGGGTTGATGGTCATTTAAGAAGCAGCATCGTCATTGTTTCATTGTTCCTTTTAAAAGCAATGAAGGACTAAATAATATTAATAAGCAAAAGATTAAATAAAGATCTTTAAAATTACACAAACAACAACTGGTGCTAAAAATAGTTTATTACCTAGTAACAAAAATAATTACTACTATTTTATCTCTTAATAAATATATGTCAGGAATGTGTTCTGTGTTTACATAAGATATTTCATTAATCCATACAATGGCAATGTCATGAAATTATTAATTTTCTCATGTTTCAAGATATGAAAACAACAATCAAGAATCTGAGACATAACTGTAAATCCTAAGGTTTTTTGTTTTTGTTTTTCTTTTTCTTTTTGTGAGACAGAATCTTGGTCTGTCACCCAGGCTGGAGTGCAGTAGCATAATCTGGGTTCACTGCAATCTCCACCTCCAGGGTTCAAGCAATTCTCCCACCTCAGCCTCTGGAGTGGCTGGGACCACAGGCACACACCACCATATCTGGCTAATTTTTGTATCTTTAGTAGAGACAGGGTCTCATCATGTTGCCCAGGCTGGTCTCGAACTCTTGACCTCAAGGGATCCACCGCCTCTGCCTCCCAAAGTGCTGGGATTACAGGCATGAGCCATTGCCTGGCCTAAAGCCTAAGGTTTTAATTTTTAATCAGTTTGCATATTTATTAAGTCTAAGAAATCATAGACAAAAGTTACAACAGATAAAAATCTAGCTGGAAATATTGCCTTTTCTTCAATGTTACACAAACTGGGCAGAGTTTATATAATTGCAACTTCGTATTATTAAATATAGAAACTAGACATTTCTGGGCTGCAATGTAGTTGAATCGGCTGCCAATTAAGACCATTGATTTTGAACCATTTTAGGTTTCACTTAAGCATTGCATGTGTGCATGTGTGTACATTTAATTTTCAGGCTTTTAAAAATTGTTTTCCTAATCACAATGCTCTTTGAGTCCTCAGCAGCGAACTCTATGCAGGTTTTGTTAGTTCCCTGACTTCAATGTTATACTTCAATTATCAGATAACTTTGCCAATCATAAAATTTCAAAAACAAAAGTTTTTAAACTTTTTAAGCTGAATGAATTCACCATGCGTAGAAATATACTAAAATTATTTGGGATGTAATGTACAATACCCAGTTCATTTAATTATAAACTAATAATTTTTATGTTTCTTTCAATAGGCTAGGAAATCCATGCAAAAAACTGTACCTCTCCCATTTATTTAGCATCCCTTAGCACTCCCATGGCAATGCCACCAAACAAATTAATTTGAATCTAAATTAATTTTATTGACCACTCATTAGGTTTTGTGCTAAGTACTGAGAAGTTGAAGACTAACTTTTGCACTCAAAGGGCTTTCAGACTGGTAGATAAAAATGAGTAAAAATAAGAGATGTAAAGATATGAATATATGCATGAATAGAAGTCTTTTGATATGTATTATTCTGAGTATCTGAACTCTCATGCTAAACTGCCTGAGTTTTTACTTACTAGTAAGTGGTCTAACGCAACCTGTAAAAATCTCTCAATTTTTTTCACATATAAAATTAAATAATAATTGTTTTTGTCACTGAGTTCTAGAAAGTTAGATATTAAATTGACAGCATCAAAATGGAGGGAACCTGGATCCTGAGTCACTGAAAAGAAAAACCTCAGAACACCTATCTTTAATTTTATCTGAGCAAGAAATAATCGTCTGTGTACTAAGTCATGCAATTTGGGGGTTTATTTGGTTTCCTTGGACCCACAGTGTGCCCCAGCTTAACAATATGGAAAGTGGCATCTTGATGTTTTGTGCTGCTATAATAAAATTCTAAACTAGGTGAAACTGGCTTGGTAACTGAGGAGTAGTTTGCAACAAGCTGATTGAGCTCTTCTATTAAGTTATTGCCTTTTTACCCCAAGACTGCCTCCTTTATGTTTTACTCAAAATGTGCCTCATTCAAAAAATAATAAAATACTGTTTACAAAAATCAAGGATTTGGATATCTTAAAAATAAACAAGACATTATCCCACTTCAAGAAGCATACAAGATAAAGAAGATAGATATGCAGGAAAATAATTGAAATTTAGAATAATTGGAATCTAGAGTATTTCCCTATGAAGTAATAGAATAAGTGCTAAGAGAGTATAGAGGGTGTGCCATAAACTAAATCTGCAGGTATTAAGGAGTGCTCTGCAGAAAGGGAAGCAATTAAATAATATTTTAGAGGAAAAACAAGAATTTGACAGACTAAAATGACCATAAGCTTCTGCAAAGAGAGTAAACAGCAATCTGCAATCCAAAGAGAGTGAACAGCAATCTACAAAGGCAAGGAAAAAAAGGGCAAATTCAGGGAATCACAAGCGGCCTACAGTGCAGGAGAGTGAACTGACATTGCAACGAATCTGGAAAGGTTTGCAAGAGTCATATAATAAAGATGTTTATAAAAAGACATAATTTGTGAATATCTTATGATTAACAAGGATGTTGAAATTATATAAAGGGTGAATGAGAAAAAGAGAGAGAATGAGAAAGATTTGAGTCAGGAAAAAATGTTTAAAAAAAGATACTGTTATACGAAAGAATAAAACTAGATCCCAGCTTCACCATATATAAAAATTAACTCAAGATAGATTAAAGATTAAAATGTCAGTCCTCAAGCTATAAAAATCCTAGAAGAAAACCTGGGAAATACCTTTCTTGACCTAGGCCTTGGTAAAAAATTTTTGGCTAAGTCCCCAAAAGCAATTGCAACAAAAACAAAATTAACAAGAAGGACGTAATTAAAGAGCTTCTGCACAGCAAAATAATCTATCAACAGAGTAAACAGAAAACCTACAGAATGAGAGAAAATATTCACAAACTATACATCAGACAAAGGTATAATATCCATAACTGTAAAACTGTAAGAAACTTAAATCAACAAGCAAAAAACAAATAACCCTACTGAAAAATAGGCAAAGGGATGACCAAACACTTCTCAAAAGACAAACAAGCAGCCAACCAACATAAGATAAAATGCTCATCATCCCTAATCATCAGAAAAATGCAAATTAAAATCACAATAAGATACCATCTTACACCAGTCAGAGTGGCTATTATTAAAAAGTCAAATAACAGATGCTGGTGAGGCTGTAGAGAAAAGGGAACACTTGTACACTGTTGATACATTGTAAATTAGTTCAGCCACTGTGGAAAGCAATTTGGAGATTTCTCAAAGAATGTAAAGTAGAGCTACCATTCGACCAACAACTCCATTATCCAGTATATACCCAAAGGAAAATACATCATTCTACCAAAAAGACACATGCATTCGTATATTTATCACAATGCTATTCACAATAGCAAAAGCATGAAATCAATCTAGATACCCATCAATGGTAGACCGAACAAAGAAAATGTGGTACGTATACACCATGGAATACTATGCAGCCATAAAAAGAACAAAATCATGTCCTTTGCAGCAACATGGATGCAAATGGAGGCCATTATCCTAAGTGAATTAATTCAGGAACAGAAAACCTAATACCAAATATTCTCACTTATAAATGGGAGCTAAACTTTAGGTACTCATGGACATAAAGATGGGAACAATAGACACTGTGAACTACTAGCGGCAGGAGAAAGAAAGTGGGAAAATGGGTTGTAAAACTATTTGTTGGACATTATGCTCACTACCTGGGTGGCAGGATCCATACCCCAAACCTCAGCATCATGCTATATACCCATGAAACAAATCTGCACATGTATCTCCTTTAAACTAAAAGTTGAAACTATATTTAAAAAGATATTGTTCTTGTGGTGAGATACAGTGAAGTCCTGAATTAAGCAGTGGTCAGTGATGAGTAAAGGAGAGATGTGAGAAGCATTTGGGAATCAACTAGATTTGAAGGGGGGAAAGAAAAGAAAGAAGTAGATTATGACTTCCTGAATTGGAGAGCTATATGTAAATTATAAATAGGTACAACACTGCATAAATGCATATGTTGGAAGAGAAAAATTGGGGAATATCCTAATGAGTGCTCTTGACAGCTATTTTGAGAGGCCTACAGGACACATAGGGCATAATGCCCATTAGCTTGAGAAATTGGATAATCTCATTATATTACAGGCATGAGGTTTATCGTTTTGTCAAACAAACATAAAGTCCACAAGGAGAAAGGTAATCTCTCCAGAGGACAGAAAGTGCTCGTTTGTAGGTGTCACACCTCTTCCTTTACTCAATTATCCTGGCTGGTAATGAACGGATGATTATTTCTTCAAAAAATTATAGTAAACCATGTTCAGATGTGTATATCTGAATAACTACAGTGACAATAAAAAGTAATTGCTATTCTGTGATGTCTTCATTTCCTATTTTGAAATTGCCGGATTTTCTAATGTCTTTATGCTTCATTATAACACAGATTATGTCAATCACTAAGTTGGTCTTTAGTATTGAAACTGTTATGGAGCAGGTGTCATGTCTTTAAAAGTGATTCTGAGTAATGGGAAGCACCGAATCATTCACCTGAGGGAGCTTAATACATAACCATCCAGATGCTCATCATTTGTAAACTACTCCCGGGTGTAAGTTTGGTACTTTGGCAATGTGTCAATGTTAATAAGAATTATTCTGATTTTTATTATCTTATGTCATTGAGATGTTATAGAGTAATAACATCAGTACACTAGATCATGATCATGATCATCACCAAATAATGAACACACAAAGTATTTTGGGGTATGCGTTAGGTACTGTGAGGAGTTCATTAACACCTTTGGAAATTGAGAATTTATTGATGGTAATAAAGATTACATGTTTTGTGCAAGTAGCATATTCACTTCTTTTTTTTTAACTTTTAATGTTATTTAAATGCTACATCATTTTACTTAGAAAAAATTAAGTGATATGTATTTGTACATCCCATTTTTAATAGATTTACATCATATCATTCAATTTTTAAGACTAATGTATAATTTTATTTTTCAGAACATGTTGTAAGTAGTCTACAGTACATTTTGCACTAATTTTTTTGTTTTTTGCATAAACACTAGTATATATACATATGCAAAAATATGACTTGGTTCCAACAAAAGTGTAATTTTTATTCTTTTTATATTCTCCACATCTCATAGTATATGATTTACCAGATATACATAAGCCAATGAATCAGATGTCATATCAGAATTAACTGCATTGAGCATGCAGGTACATATGAAAAGTAATCAAACTTAATTGCCTATATAATCATGGAAAATATATGAAAATTATAACTTTAAAAAATAATTATGAAGATTGAAAGATAATGAATTTTAGACCTTGTTATTGAGATCATTCCATTACTACCACCATCACTAAACTATGTCTAGTTTATTTTAAACTCCAATTTATGTACATAATTGCTTTTATATATATAAGATTCATCAAAATTGAATGAGTAAAGTTTTCATCATCAGATAAAACCAAATACATTAAAAAATTCTTGGTTGTAATTTTTTCAGGAGCCATATGACATTCTTCTGTAATGCACTGGAAGAATTATAATTATCACTAGACTTCACTTCGTTATTCTTATATCCACTGCAATAGTAATTGCCAAGAATTTTACAGCTAAAATACTTCAACTGGCTGATGTCCCTTAAGGATCATAAATTAACAGATTGTGGCCCTGTACTTCCATGCTCACCCTGATGCCCTCCTTACAGGCTTTCAGTAATCAGACAGCTGTATTGTTTTGTTTGGTTTTGTTTGGTTTTAAACAAACCAATCATTAATGTTAAAATCCAAGTAAAAAGTAAACATTAATTAACACTTCAGATTGTGAAAAGCTCAATATCAATATTTTTATTATGTCCAATTTACAAAAGAAAAGCCATAGTTTCAGTCATTTTCAAACACTAGCCTGAAAATGAGGGTGTGAAAATATCTGTTATTTTATTATTTATTATTGTTGAAATGTATCATTGATAGACTGGACATGATTTCTATTCTGAAGACCAATAATAAGTTGAATTCAGATATCCTTAAATGTGGTATATTGTTAGGAGACTAATATTTTAGATATAAAGGGATGGAACTGTGTTACCTAGAATAAAAGTGAATCAATAATATCTGAGTTTCACTTTTAAGACTGCCATAAACAAAAATAGTTAATATCAACAAAAGAACATTGAAATGCAGCTGACCTTCATTATTCACAGATCCCATGTTTGTACCATATTTTTAAAATAAACTCAAGCTATGGTTTTCTCTTTTAATAACTCATTTTTAAATTACATGAAGCGATAAGTATTATTTCTGAGTTACAAAACATTATCTATAACCTATGTTTTAAATTAATGACTTTCAAGATCAAGAAGGATAAATAGGAAAGGAGTAATTATGACTAGTGTTTAAGAAAAACAGAAGCTATAATTGGCAATTGTATCCAAAGGGTAAACTCTGAATAAGAATAAGAGACCAAACCACAAATTTGAGTAACAGACTGCCCAGAAAGTGTTATGTAAATGCAAGAAACTCATTTATATTGGCTGATAGCATGCATAGCAAGCATAAGTCAGTCTTAATAAAAGACAGAAAAGCTTGAAATGGTAAGTACTATTTTTTTGAACTAATCCTACGCTTTTCTTTATTGAAGTCCTAAAGTCAAATTAAAAGCAAGAACCAGCTAGAGAGCTGAATACGTCCATAGTCAAAATGCAAGAATAAGTACATGAATACTTTAGTTGAGATTTCGTGTTTCTTTCAAGGAAAACAAATCTATTAATATAAGGATTCTTCAAATAGATTATTTTCTTAAACCTGTAAGATTCAACACATAATCCCAATCTCATTAGACATGCAATGCATACTGTATGTGTGTATGTAGCAATGTGTAGACAATTTTCATAAAATGGAGCAAATATCTTCATTTGCAAAAGTTCTGTTGTATTAATATATCATAAATTGTATGTCTCTGCCCTCAGAAGAGCACAAGTTACATTTCATTTGTTTTGACTGAATTTTAGAGTGATGTTAGGATCTAAATTTCACTATTTTTGGTGGGGGAAAAAAGTAACTTGAATTACTAGCCAAGAGCCAAGTCAAGAGACTTCAAAATTTAAACATTCCTCTATTTATGGGTTTCTTTAATGGGGTCTGGATATGGGATTAATGCCCATAATATTTTTAAAAAAGTCAATTCTATTAATTCCTTGTAAGATATCAATTGTATACTTCAGAGATACAGGTCTCTACCTTGTGGTGGCATCTCTTTTTCATTTGTCATCTAACCCACATGTTCTTGATTCAATATATTTTCAATAAAGTATTAAAATATATTCAAAAAATTGTGCTTGAAATTATACTGCAAAAATAATTGGATTAATGGTCCTATTAAGACTGAAACCAGAGAATATAATAATATTAAAAGTGCATAAATTTTATAAGCTAAAGACAGAGAGAGACAGAGAGGCAGAGAAAAGCCAGACACAGAGAGAATAATTTTGTAGCTCATGAAAATATTGAATCTATAATTTCCAATACTGGGAATATGGGAACATTAATTCTGATAGTAATCTTAGAAATACTGTAATGGAAGCCAAACTACATTATTTCTCAACTAAACATAATAATAAATGAACATTTAACAAAAAATATGTGAAATGAGAATATGATTGAAATGGATTTTATCATTCATTTTCACATTTGAAATAACATCATATTTGTATCACCCTTTAAGAAAATCATTGCAAAGCCTTATAAATGTAAAAATTATTATCTCTGAAATTTCAAAATAACAAAACAATGTTTTGTTTTGTTTTGTTTTCCTTTGGCTTATAGAAGTTTATTGTAGTTCTGAAGGGCTGAAGTCTGAAATCAAGATGTTAGCAGGGCCACACTCCCCTCACGTGGACTTCTCTTTTGTAGTTGTGTCTTCTTCTCTTCTCTCGCTTTTTTTTAATTTTGTTTTTTATTTTAAATTTTACTTTAAGTTCTGGGATACATGTGCAGAACATGGTTTGTTACATAGGTATACATGTACCATGGTGGTTTGCTGTGCCTATCAACCCATCATCTAGGTTTTA
This sequence comes from Homo sapiens, assembly GCF_000001405.40. Classification (NCBI taxonomy): domain Eukaryota; kingdom Metazoa; phylum Chordata; class Mammalia; order Primates; family Hominidae; genus Homo; species Homo sapiens. The sequence goes on along the minus strand of NC_000002.12, from coordinate 193,386,348 downwards.
AGCTCTACGTGCATTAGGTATTTGGCCTAATGTTCTCCCTCCCCTTGCCCCAGACTCCCCAACACGCCCTGGAGTATGATGTTCCCCTCCCTGTTTCCATGTGTTCTCATTGCAGAACAACTATTTTTAAGAAGGATCTTTTGTTAAAGTTTGACATTAGCCATTGTGTCACACTCACAATATCTTCATTCTAATTTAACTGATACTACTTTTCATAACCATTTCTTTCAACAAGACGATTTACAAAATGGTACACAGAAGTATGTCCCATAGGACTGCAAGTTATTCAATTAATAACTCAATTTGATTATAAATTTAAATTAAGTGTACTGTCAATTCAACTTATAATTTTTAAATTAATGGAATGATTTAAATATCATAAGGATTTAGGTATCAATTTTTTTCTGCTGAGAAATTTTTCAAATCCTTTTAATAAAGAACATGATGACATTTGTTATAATTAGGTTCAAAACCTCTCATGAAATATCATTCATTTAATAGTTTGTATTTAACAAACCACCACTGCTTTAGAAAAAAAATTCCACAATGAACAGTTAAAGCAAATGTCATCTCTTTCTCAACCACTTTTATTTGTTTATTTAATGGAGAAAACATTAATAGAAATTCAAATACATTAGGATAGTATAATAATCCCATCACATTAATAATGCAGATGGCACTGGGAGGTTAATCACATCTAAAGTGAACAGGTTTTGTTCATAAAGTTATTTTTTTTAGACACTGCCCACTCCCACCTCTGCACGAAAATGCGCTATGTTCTCATCCTGGTTTTCTAACAAAATGTTACGCATGTGGGCATACAGTCTTTAATAAAGATGACTAAATCACTGATTCCACACTTATTACCACCTTAAAAATTAATATGACATTTAAAGCAATGACTTTGTTAGAATATTTTAAAACTGTTTAGTACCCTACAGAATTGCTATTTGAAAATACAGAATAATTACTAAATTCAATTTCAAAGCACTATGTGTGACATATATTGTTACAGTATTCATTTATTGAATGATTATCTATTTTATTAACTCGACATGCACTGCACTGAAGAGAAAATATACAAATCATACAGATAGATGTTCTTGCCTCCAGGTTTGCAGTCCATTGGGAAAGATTGGCAATAGTCAAATAATCACACAAATAAAGGTAAAATTACAATTGAAAGATGAAATGAGGACTATGCGGGAAGAAGACATGTAATGAGGCAACTTGGTTTACAAAAACAAATGACAATATTAAGAAACAAAAACATTGGTGTACCTAGTTTGTGTATTTTAAGTCAAGCACTTTGAAAGACGGCACTGAAGTAAGGGCCAGGTCATAGAATGCTTTCAATGGCATATTGAGGAATATGTATTTAAATATGTAGGTCATGAGACCCATGGAATGTTTGAAATAACTCAGTAATAGTGTGAGCAGCAGGCATGATTGGCTTGACAGAGAAGAGTAAATTCAGTCAGAAAAGTTTCCTAATACCTGAGGAACAAGAAAATGAAAATCTGAGTTAATGCGGTAAAGATCAGAATCTAGCATTTGGGGGTTTCCCGATATAAAAATAGATTTTTAGTAAATACATTATGAGTCTCTGGCAGTTTGTAATAATATTTTCTTGCTTATAAAATAGGTATTCTTGTCGTTACTAATCTGAGATAAACGGGGATTCAATGTTTCCTTAATGACTTTTAGACCAACTTGTTATCTTTAAGAAAGTGGATAATACCATTACAAAATTACTTTTTGAGCATTCATTGTTCCAATGCCATGTTTTATATGAAGAAAACTGAATTGAGAATACTCATTGGAGTCTCTTGGCTTAACCAACTAAAGAACTCTCCAAATTGTCCATAGTACTGCATGCTATAGTATTATGGTACTAAGCCACATCTATTCTATTTCTGAAAAATAAATAAATCCTATAGCATCAATAATAAAAACATGCATCTATAATTATTAGGTAGAATAATTTAATTTTATCAAAGAAAAGTGAAAAAAGCAAGTCCCACTACATTATTTCAGGAAAAGCTACTATCGGAAATGTTTTTATTTTCCGATTGGTACCTCTTTTATGGGTCTGCCTGCAATTTTAAATTTGCATTTGTAACATGAACCTGTTCAAAAAATGGTAACCAAATTTTTGATAGTTTTCAATTAGCCACTTCTTTTAAGCTAAGGAAATATTCTATTTCTTTTGCTTTAATATAGCGTTCAGTTAGAGAAAACATATACAAAATATACAAAGCACACAGATAGATGTATACATACACATACAAAGCAATCTATTACAAATGACAACTAAAAGCATTAACTATATTTTCTTATAGGATAAACTTATTACGAGAGATGTCTCAGCTAATAACAATTGAGAAGAAAATAAAATTAAAGCAATTTGTAATAATACCGTGTCCAGAGTTGTTTCCTTCCAGTGGGTTTGTGGTCTTGCTGACTTCAAGAATGGAGCCGCGGACCTTCCCAGTGAGTGTTACAGCTCTTAAAGATAGCATGGACCCAAAGAGTGAGCAGCAGCAAGATTTTTTGTGAAGAGCTAAAGAACAAAGTTTCCACAGCGTGGAAAGAGAACCGAATGGGTTGCCACTGCTTGCTGGGGTGGCCAGCTTTTCTTCCCTTATTTGTCCCTTCTCATGTTCTGTTTTTGTCCTATCAGAGTGGCCTTTTTTCCAATCCTCCCTGTGATTGGCTACTTTTAGGATCCTGCCAATTGGTCCATTTTACAGAGTGCTGATTAGTCCATTTTACAGAGCACAGATTGGTCCATTTTGCAGAGCGCTGATTGGTGCATTTTACAATCCCCTTGTAAGACAGAAAAGTTCTCCAAGTCTCCACTCCACCCAGGAAGTCCAGCTGGCTTCACCTCTCAATATTCTTTTGGAATTTTATAATAATTTTTCTTTCTCAAATTAAGCAAACACATATATATTTTTCATTTCCATGGCTTATAAACATCTAGTTTTTGTAATGAGTACTCAAGTGCCAATGCTAGTGCATCATACAGAGTTCAGGTCACAAATTTCTCAACTTTTTTTTCCTAATTTCCAAAAATAAGAACATCAAAACAATATTCTAGATGCTAATATTATATACATACCAAGTTTCTAAAGTCTTACAATTTTAGAGTTCGTGAGTAGACTAGAATGTGAACAGGTGCATTATTATAGTTCAAAACAATCAGACCAAGGTAAATACTAGCCATGAGTATTTGTTTTGTGATATTACTAAAAGCACGTATGGCATAACAATCCTTATAGTTGAAAGTACTTGCCTTTCTTGGCACAACGATTATAAAAAATTCCATGGCTAAGATCAACACCGAACTTAAGAGATCAAAACTTATTGATACTGACCAAGACAGCCTTTAAGCTCCTCTCAGCTTGACTAGACTTCAGGCGGGTTTCTTCTTGACTTCAGGCCTCTGATCTTCTCTTCCTTAAAGCACTTACCTTAGGAAACTTGTAATCGCTGTTCCTTTGAGATGTAAATCTATCTAAAAGCCTCTTGAAAATTTTATGACCTGGGAATGTCTTCCTCCAGGGCTTGGGGCCATCACTTTGAAATCTACACATCAAGGAAGATAGTACTGCTATCTCCCAGTTTCCCTGGAAGGTTAGGAGCCTAACTTCTGTGAGTTCCTTGCCCCAGGTAGTAAAACAACTCCTCACAAAGATACCAGAGAAACTTTGCTTTTCCTCTGGGTAAAGCTAGCAAACACAAATGGTCTGTGTTCTCCCTCTTACCCCGGTGCTTAACCCTAACCAGCATTTTCAGGTGCTGCCCAAAACAGAACTAATTTTTCTAAATTTATCACAGCATGCCGTAAGGACCGTTTAGCTACCTAACACATATAGGTATCTGGGGTTTGATTAAGGAGGGAGAGAAGTGGAGAGAGGCAAGCAGGAATATCTCAGCAGGCCAACCAAGGGTCAAATGGGTCTTATGTCAGACAGTTGTCAATCAGACATCACAAACTAGTGGGAGGGACCTTCTTGTTACATGGGGGTGCCTACCAAAAAATAAAATGATCTGACTTTTATAATATTTTTAAAAAGATAACTTTGTTGCTGTTTTGGGAAAGAGACTGCGTTGTTGGGTCGGTGGTGAATAAAGGTACAAGCAACCATGTCAGTTAGTAGGTAATAGAACTAAAAATAATTATACATTATTCACTTAAACATGTATAGGTCATCAATGACTTATCTGAAACCAGATTAGATGTGTTTCAGGCTACTGTAATGGGTTTTCTAACAAAATATATTACCATTTCTGCAGCAAAGTGTGTAAATATTCATAGATGGACAATCTAAAAGTGTGGAGAGCCTCCCATCATTTCAGATAGTTATCCTTCCCTTCCATCTGAGTTAAGTTAGAGGCATGATTTCTCACCAAGGAAGCAGGATACATGAAATGCCCATGGAGGAATATATGATGAATGAATGACTTGGATATGACTTGGAGTGAATAAATAGGAATGTGAAAAGACATAAGGAGCTTAGATTAGTATTTGATAATCAAATAAAGAGACAGTCCTTATTACACAGGCTGGGAAATTTCCATAGCTAGTGGTGATGTTTGATAGTGCAAACTCAGTTTTACTGCATTTAATATTCTCCTGTAACTTCTCTCTTCCCATCTATGTCCTGATCTCTTAATCCTCTCATATGCAAAATGTATTTCTACTACACTAAGAGATCTTTTGCTCTAATTATTCAATCAATAAAATTTCTTTTAGTACAGCTATCTTAGCCATCATAAGTAATAGGCTTGTTGTATTTGTATCTAATTATGTTAAATAAAAATCTACATACATAAGCATATTATCAGATTGAACATAAAAAGTCATGATATTTATCATATTAAGGCAGCATCAGATTGTTGTGATGAAACATGGCCGCCAGATACAGAAGTCTTAGGCTAAATCCTGGATCTCATATTAGCTGTGTAATCTTAAACAAGTTACTTAATTCCTCAATTTCCCCCTTTTCCCAGTGGAAATAATTATGATTCCTCACAGAGTTGTTGTGATGATGAAGTGAGCTAACTTTCGTAAAGCATGTGAATGGTACTGGCCATATTTTAGAACTATATCAGTATTTATTTATTAAATTCAACAAGTAAATTATTAAATAAGTAAACTAAAAATGAAAATAGTGTATTAAGTTGCATATTGTGGCTTAAAGAATTCAACTTTTCATTTATTTTTGAAACATCTAATTTAAAAATCACTTCAAGTAGGCCAAACATGGTGCCTTACACCTATATTCCCAGCACTTTGGGAGGCCAAGACAGGCAGATTACCTGAGCCCAGGAATTTGAGACCAGCCTGGGCAACATGGCGAAACCCTGTCTCTACAAAACATACAAAAATTAACCAGGCATGGTGGCATGTGCCTGTGGAACCAGCTACCTCGGAGGCTGAGGTGGGAGAATCACCTGACCTCGGGAGATCGAGGTTGCAGTAAACTATGATAATGCCACTGTATTCTAGCCTGGGTGACTGTGTGAGACTCTGCCTCAAAAATTAAAAAAGAATCACTTCAGATATATGTGAGTACCCACAAACACACATACACAACATTTGTTGTCAAGCACTCATATCTATGGTAGTCAACCTTTTAAAGATATCTATGGTAGTCAACCTTTTAAAGATATCTATGGTAGTCAACCTTTTAAAGATATGTATTTTGTGATTAGAAATCAGTCAAATTTATTCTAATTTTTTAAAACAAATTTCAAATGACATTTCTTGGAGAGAACTTAATTAAAAGCCTGAAGAGAGAGAGAGAGAGAGAGAGAACTACTTTTGTTTTGGTAAACTCATATTAGCTTACTTCAGTAGGTCAGTATGAGTATTATTAGTGATGAAAATATGTTGTCCTTCTCAAACTAATTTACTTCTTTAGTCTTCTGTGTAACCTTAATGACTAGTGGGTTTAACAGTTTCTTACCTTTCTATGAAGAATGATCTTTAAAATTATTATTGCTATTGTCTTTTCTTGTACTTGTGACAACAGCAATGTATTTGTGACAACAGCAATGTATTAGCTCAATGCATATGTACCTTAAAATACGTCTATAAGTCAATGATGGGTCTCTGTCTTATTGTTGCCCTAGAGGTCAGTGGCATCCAAAATTATACATACACATTTTTTCAATATGATCCTTATATACTGGGGATTCATTGCTCATTTTTGCTCACTGATAAAAACTTTTTTGATTCCACTATGATGGATTCATATCAAAATTATATTTTTGCTGTTAGAAAAAAAGGTTTATTTGCATATGAATTGGTTCTTCTCCATACTTCTTTCATAACATTTAAATTAAAAACCTACCTATCATACATGCTGAAAATCTCCACCATTAACATTTGTATATCTAGAAAGTGTCTAGAAAATAAAAGCCTTTGTTTGAGATGTTAACACTAGTTCCATACCTTTAAAAGAAATCACTCTAGGCTTAATTCTTGAATAGAACATCTTAAATTTCTGATATTATAAATATGTTTTTCATGACTCAATTACTTAAAGTTCCAAAATAGGAAATTGAGTTATCTTAAAAAATAGTATATTTAATAAATTTTTGTTCCACTTGCTTATTAGGTGCTAGGAAATGATTGAAAGAAAGGCCATGATTTTTCAAAACTGACAAACCGTATAGAATGAAAAATAATCTAAATATTTAAAAAGTGGAAATCTTAATTCTATAAAATTTTAATTTAACATCTTATTTCAGCAACTTTCAATAATATTAAAAAATGAGAAAATTAAATATTTTATATAACAATATTCTGACATTTTAAAAAGTGTTATTTTCATACTACAATTAAAATATTAACATGTCTTGCATGGAGTTATTAATAGTTTCCTGTATAGAGGAACACATGAATATGTCTATAGTTATGTCTACAGTTCAAGTAATTTCAGTCTATTTTTACAGACATTCCAAAGAGACTTTATTATATTTAGTAGAAATATAACAAATATAAATTTATTATATTTAGTAGAAATTATTTTATATAATATTATATTAAAAAATATATTTATTATATGTTATGATGAATATATCATTTAATTTTTAAATACCTCCTTTTTTTGCAAAGAATGCAACCTATAGACATGAGTAGCATTCAAAAGGATAGTTTGAATTCACAGTAGTAAAATTAAAAGTGCATCGACTTAAATGTGTGCAGATCTTTGGAGAATGATGGATAGCTAATACCTCTGCATATGATGAATACAAGATCGTAGAGAAATATGCAAATTATTTCAAAAATCTGGCTTTTCCAACTTTTATCTCTTGATTCTTAGAAATATAAGTAAGTCAGAAAAATAGCAGAGAAAGGTTTGGTATTTTTGATCAATATATTACTGTTGCTAAATACATTTGATTTTCCTATATTTATTTAAATAATGCACATTCCTTTTGTTATACATAGTGATGGTACTATGAGAGTAATATTTAACAACACAAATAATGAAATAGTCTCTTATGCAGAGAAACATGAACTGAATTTTTTTTTTCCTGAAGAGCTGCTATATTTTCTGAGATGGCTATTTATCATTTTTCCACTTATATCTCAGGAAATTTGGTATTCAATTCATGATTTAAATGTCCTAAGAATATATGCTTTTAACTTAAATGCTCTATATACTTTTAAAAAATAAAATAAGATTATTTTCCAATGTGGAGAGGGAGGGTCTCCCCTTACTTATGGATGGAGGTGGTCCTCACTGACATCATGGAAGGGACTAAAGTTGAAGATTATGGGGGATAGAAATGTGAACAGGAATGGGTAATCTTTCATCCTTACATCTTCTGCAGGTGAAGGCCTAGGCTCCCTTATTGAAATTTACTGGCACAGATGGGTTAAGGCCATTATTTTTTATACATGGTGGTTTTCTGGAGTAGAGCAGTCATTGTCTAAAATCTCTCTGCCTTGCTAGGCTAGCCCTCTCCTGATCTTTTGGCTATAGCATAGGCCTTTGTTGGGACTTTTTTGGCCTGCCACCATTGGGGTCTCCAGGTTGTCAACTTCTCTAGTTCCAAATTTGGCAGATATGAGGCAAAAAGAAAATTCAGGGAACTCACTACCTTGTCATTTCTCATGTCCCAAGGTCCATAAGCAGTATTCCACTTATTGTCTTACAGTCTTATTTATGTCTTATATTTAATGTCCAGGATTTTTAGTTGTACTTAGTTGGGGGAGCAGGAAAAAGTACATGAATTTCATTTTCTTAGAAGCTAACTGGTGAGCCATAACATTCACCACCATCTAGGGGTAATGAGACTACTCCCCTCCAGGCAGTGTCAGTAGAAATCATGTGGGGAGCAGTAATGAGTCACTCTTACCACCCACAACCAAAGAGGTATCACTGGAAGTCTATTGTGGAGCTCAAACTTTCAAATACTCACCTCAGTACAGCAGTAACAAAGAGTCCACCTGCAAACCTTAGGTGTCAACAAAGGCCAAGTGGAAAATCTCAATTTTTATTCCTTCATGGTGGTAAGCCATGTTTAAAATATCTAGGAAAACAGAAAATTCAAATAAAATCCAGTCTTATACTGTAATACATGTTTCAATTAAGCTACTTATCATACCAGGAACTGGAAAGGTTTCAAGCTGAATGATAAAAGGTAATCAACAGACACCAACATTGAGATGAAAGATATATCGGAAGTATCCGGCAAAAATTTGAAAGCACTGATTATAGAAAATTTTCAATGAACAGTTAGAAACATGCTTGAAAAATGATGAAAACATAGAAAGTCTCACCAAAGAAATAGAAGATATAAAGAAGGACCAACTGAAAATTTTAGAACTGAAAAATACAATAACTAGGAAAGAAACTTAATGGATAGGTTTAATAGCAGAATGGAGGGAACAGAAAAAACAGGATCACTGAACTGGAAGATACAATAGAAATTACTCAATCTAAACAACAAGGAGAAAATAGTCTGAAAAAAATGAATAGAGCCTGATGGGCCTGTGGGACTATAACAAAAGTTCTCATATTTATGACACTGGATTTCTGGAAGAGAAAAAAGCAGGCAAGGATGTAGCAATAATCAAATAAATAATCATTGAAAGCTCCCCAAATTTAGCAATATAAAAATGTCTGAACATGGTAGTTCTAAATGTATATCGAGGAAGCAATTAAAATGAGCATAAAATAAATGGAGGAGAATAAAGGTATATAAAGAGCGGTAAGGTTTCTTTCTATACTTCACTCAAAATGGTAAAATAGTGACAACAGTGCATTGTTATACTTAATGTATATATAATATAACACCTAAGATGCCATTAAAAATACTATACAAAAGGATACACCCAAAAGCACTATAGATTAATCAAAAAGCAAATGTAGAAAGAAAAAATGTAAGTAACACTTAGAAAGATGGTGAAAAAGTAAATGAAAAACAGAAAGAAAAAAACAGAAGGTACAAATGGCAGACTTAACCATAATATAAAAATAATTAAGTGAAATATAAATGGTCTGAATACCAATTAAAAGACAAAAATTGGCAAAGTGGATTAAAAATATTACCCAACTATATCCTTTCGACGAGAACATTATTTCAAACATAACAATAGAGACAATTTGAAAGGAAAAGTGTGGAAAGAACTATACCATGCAAAAAATCAGAAAAAGCAGGTGCCCTGTATTCATTAATATCAGATAAAGTGGACTTCAGAGAAAAGAATATTATCAGAGTAGGGTATATTATATAATGTTGAAAGAGTCAATCTTCCAAGAAACATGACACCAAATAGTGGAACTACAAAATATGTGGAGAAAAACTTACAGATTTAAAAGAAGAAATAGACAAATTCACAATTTACTAGGAGACATCAATGCTCTTCACTCAACAATTGATAAAAAAGCTAGATATAGATTCAGCAAGTATATGGAGGATCACAACAACATTATTTAATTGATATTTACAGAAAAATTCACCTCAAAACAGCAGGATTAGCATTCTTTTTCAAGTGCACAGAGCATATACCAAGATAGGCCACATCCTGGGCCATACAAGTCTTAACAATTTTAAAACAATTGAAGTCATACAATGTGTGGCTCGAACTAGAAATCAATAATAGAATAGGATAATCTCTTAAGACTTGTATACAACACATCTAAATAAATCCACTGGTCACTGAGGAGCTATCAAGGAAAATTTAAAAGTGCCTTGCACTGAATGAAAATGAATATAATCTATATCTAAATGTGTGGGACACAGTTAACAGTGCTGAAAGATAAATTTATAGCACTAAATGCTTACATTTGGTGCTATGAAAATGAGAAAATGACTCAAATAGTCATTTTTTACTATTTTTGACTAAGTCCTCACCTCAATAATGTGGAGAAAGAGGCCCAAAAAGCAAGCAGAAGAAAGGAAATAATAAAAATAAGAGTATGCGTCAATGAAAGAATAGAAAAACAGTAGAAAAAACTAAAGAAACAAGAAATTTTTTTTGAAAACGTCAATAAAATTGACCAAACTTTGCAAGAGTGACAGTGTAAAAAGAGGAGAAGACACAAACAACTAGTAATATAGATCTTACAGATATCAAAAGGATATTAAATAACTCTTACAGGTCGGGCGAAGTGGCTCACGCCTGTAATCCCAGCACTTTGGGAGGCGGAGGTGGGCCGATTACGAGGTTGAGATCCAGACCATCCTGGACAACATGATGAAACTTTGTCTCTACTGAAAAATACAAAAATTAGCCAAGCATGGTGACACGCGCCTGTAGTCCCAGCTACTAGGGAGGCTGAGGCAGGAGAATCGCTTGAACCCAGGAGGCGGAGGTTGCAGTGAGCCGAGATCGCGCCACTACACTCCAGCCTGGCGACAGAGCAAGACTCTGTCTGAAAGAAAAAAAAAAAGAAAAGAAATCTTACAAACAACATGAATTTAACCACTTAGATGAAATGGACAACTCACCCAAGGTAAAATAGTTTTAAAAGCCCTTTAACTATTAAGAAAATTGAATTTGTATTTAAATATTCCAAAAATAGAAATGTGGCGTCTCTAAGTGGTTTCACTGGAGAATTCTGCCAAATGTTTAAAGGATAATTAATATCAAGTCTTCAAATTATCTTCCAAAGTATAAGTAATATTTTCCACTTCATTTCATAAAATGAGTACTACTCTGATATGTAAACTAGACCATGAAAATATGATAAAAGGAAACTGCAGATCAACATTCCTCTTGAATATAGAGGCAAAAAATTATTAACAAAATATTAGCAAATAAAATTCAGCTACATTTATGAAGATTTACAAACTATGAACAAGTGAGTTTTATTCCAGGAATGTAAAATTGTTCAATAGTTGAAAATCAATCAATGTAACCTACTAAATTAACATAAAAAAAGAAAAACAAGAAACACCACACATGATCATAGCAATCAATGCTGAAAACGCATGTTAACAAAATCCAATATTTATTCATGATAAAGTATCTCAGGAAAATAGGAATAGAGAGGGAATTCCTCAACTAGATTAAAAGAAAAAAAATTTACAGAATCTTACAGCTAACATAATATTAATGGTGAAACATAAATTATTTTTTCCTACGTTCAGAAAAAAGTCAAGTACATCTGTTCTCACCACTCTTAATCAACATAATGCTGGAAGCTCTAGCCCATGCAGTAGTTAACAAAGGGAATAAATAGCATACAGATTGTAAAGTAAGAAATGCAACTATCCTTTACAAATATGATTGTTTACCTAGAAAATCCCAAGGCATCTATAAAACATATCCTAAAACTCTTACACCTAATAAGTAAGTTCAGGAATGCCACATGGTATACAAAAAATACAAAAAATAGTATTTCTGTACCAGCGATAAAGCAAAATTAAAAATATGATACCACTTATATTTGTTCAAAATAAATAAAATATTCGGATTCAAATCCGAAACTATGTTCAGGACTTGTATTCTGAAAACTACAAATGTTGATGAAAGAAATAAATGAATTCATAAGTAAATGGAGAGACATATCATGCTCATATATTAGAAGGGTCAACATATTATAGATGTCGGTGTTCCCCAAATTGATGTACTAGTTTAACTAAACTTCTATCTATGTCCCAGTAACAAGTTCTGTAGATAGTAATAATGTTCTAAAATTTATAAAGAAAGTCAAAGGAACTAGAAAAGCTAAGACAATTTTGAAAAGGAAGAATAAAATGGGAGAAATCTCTCTATCCAATCTCATGATTTATTACATAGCTACCATTATCAAGACTGAAGTATTGGCAGAGATACAGACAAATAGATCCACAGAACTGAAGAGGGAATCCAGAAAGAGACAAAATTTGCCCAATTATTTTTTGATATAGGTACACAAGAATTTAAATTGAATAAAGATAGCCTTTTCAACAAATGATGTTGGAGAAAGTAGACATCCTGAAGAAAAAATATGAACCTTGACCTAAGTCTCACACTTTTATTATACAAAAATTAATTTAAAATGAGTCATAGACTTAAGTGTAAAACTATAAAACTTGTAGGAAAAAACAGGGGAGAACAATTATGATATGGAGTTCTTAAACGTGACAGCAAAAGCTCAAAATATAAAAGGAAAAATTGATAAATTGGACTTCATCAAATTTAAATTTTTTTCACTTTAAAATAAGTTGTTAAGAGGATAAAAAGTCATCTACAGACTTGGAGAAAATGTATGCAAACTACGTATCTGACAAAGGATTAGTATTTAGAATACATAATAATTCTCAAAATGCAAATAAAAATTGAATTAGAAAATGATCAAATGAGATTGAGACATTTCAATGAAGATAATACCACATCGCAAATAAACATATGAAAAGATGTTCAATGTCATTAGCCATTAGAGAATTGTAAATTAACCTCAAAATGTAATTACTTCACAGCTATCAGAAGGACTAAAGTAAAAAAATAGGATCAACACCAAATGCTGGTGATTATGCAGATAAACTGGATTACTCATTGCTGATAAGAACATAAAATGGTACAGCCACTCTAGAAAACAAATTGGCAGATAAGAAAAGAAAACAAAAATCATACAACTACCCAGCAGCTACGTTCTTGGTCAGTCAACGCAGAGAAATGAAAATATACTTACACTTAAATCCATATACAAATGTTTTAGTGATAAATCAAAAGTGAAAACAACCCAGCTGTCTTGAGTGAATAGTTAAACAAATTGTGGTACATCTGTACCAGGTCCTGCTTAGCAGTGAATAGGAGCACATTATTGATTGATATATGCAAACACCTGAATGAATCTCCAGAGAATGATGCTCAATTAAAAAAAAAAAAGCTAATCTCAAATATTACATGCTGTGATTTATTTACATAACATTTTAATGACAAAATTATATAAATGTAGAACAGATTAATGGTTTCCAGGTATTAAGGAAGGAAGGTGGTGTGGGAGGGAAGTTGGGTGACTATCAAAGGGCAACATGAGGGATCCTCATGGTGATGGAAATTGTCTCCCTCTATCTTGGCTGTATCAATGTCAGTATCCTAGTTGTGATTCTACAATTATCTTAAAAAGAAAGTTTAATTAAAAAAAAATATAACCCAGCAATAGAGAAAAAAGTTCTTCCACCCAATTTTGTATGTGTAAAGTCAATACAGACACAAAGTAGTATATTCATTAAGCAATGTCTTCTCTATCTGGACAATGAAAATGACCTTTTTCTCTATTATTATCTTAACATAAGAAGTAAAAATGGCCTACCTTTGCTAGGAATTACATGTCAGAGTCTTTCCTAAGTGCTTTATCTGGAAATATACACTTAATTGTAACACAATCTTATGGGAAAGACATTTTGCAATCTATTTTACAAGTCAGGAAACTAAAGCAAAGGGATGTTATATCCAAGGACATAGAGCTAATAAGTTTGAGGATGATGTGTACATAAAGCCATTTTATTATTTTTCCCCCATAATTTGGGATGTTAATAGATATTATATATTGTACCAACAATGTATGATAGGTCAGTTATAGTGATTATCATTTTTAAAATTTGGCAAGTGGACAAAAAGCCAGTTAACATTTATTAAGTAAATCTAAGAATGACAATAGGTAGAGTGTTGAATACAATTCCAATAAACTATGCTATACCAAGAGTCTCATTTTTTGCCCAACAATATCATTTTTCATGAGTCAATCATTGCTGGATCATACACTTCTTTCTATCAATATTTTATAATATAATGTCTTATAATGTGAGCCCAGAAAAATCTGACATGTACTAGTTATCAAATATTCTGTTAATTATCTTATAGCAAGTGGAATAAAATTGGTACAGTTGCCAAGAAAAATAACTATTTTATGAATAAAATCAACAATTTTGCTAAAAATAGCAAAACTGAAAATTATATGAGGCTATATGCTAGAAAGTACAAAATTTTGATTTAATTAATTAAAACGTCATTAATACGTTTGAGATTCTATTATACATGGAACTCTTAGTTTCTTGAAAGTATGTTAAGATAAGGTATTAAAATACTCTCCTTCATATCAGAGTCTTAATTTAGCATGAACAAGAAAGAGGTAAGACACATATATAAATATCCTTCAGTAGAGGAAAAGATGTACAACTGGAAAGATTTATATGAAGCATAACGAAGAGAAAATAAAATCTTCTGTGAATGAACTTAGAAAATTTACCTGGAATTAGAGCCCAAATTTCTCTGTTGCTGAGTGTAGAAGCCTTTTACAATCCTCAGAGTCATATATAAACTTTTGTAACTATTATCGGTAGGGTGAAGTTCAGAGCAGGTTTGGAAGAGAGCCGAGATCAGAAAAGCCTCCAAGCATGCAATACTGTGTAGAGGATGACACGGGTGTTCTGCTTTGATGAACAGTTGCTTCCACTGGCCGGCACCTGCAATTCTTCACAGGACTCCCTCGGCCTTTGGAAGGGCCAGTGACCCCACTTTGCCGCTGCTATTGAAAACCAGAAGTAATTGACACGTCTTAGAATAGGTGAGCCCCACTCTCCTGCCCCCACAGGACAATGCTGAAAGTAACTTACACACTGGTGTTCCCCTATCTGAAGCTTTTCCTCTGTAGGAATTTGGTATAAAGTCACATTCTTTGAAGTCTTCTCCTTCCCTGACTTGCTTCTTACATTTCTTTACTTTGTTCTCTTGGGAGCATTTTCTTAATAAATCACAAGCACATATATCCTTATTTCAGATTCTGCTTCTGACTTAAGCCATGACAGATGGCTCTTAGCATTACAAAAAAACAGGTGAGATATCAATATTCAGAGATGGAATTAAACAAATGAGCATTTTTCATAGAAAAAACATCACATTCTCAGGAAACCATGGGGTATTTTCAAGGAACAGTGAATGATCTGTGTGTTGAATGAAAAAAAGGTTTGGATCTATTCAGAATGCTCATACAACCAGATGAAGAATTTGTCTTTAGTTCAGTAAGCAAAATTGAATCTAAAAGATTTGAGCTTGCCGAGTATCATGATGACTATAATTTAGGGAGGCAGGATTGGTTTCTGAATGCAAAATTTAAAGAAAATATGTACCCGTTCCCTAGGGTGGCCACAACAAATTACCAGAACTGTGTGGCTTAATACAGCAGAAATTTATTCTCCACAATTCTGGCAGCCAGAAGGCTGAAATCAAGGTTTATGCATGGCCACACTTTTTCTGGAATACTTTCTTGCATCTCCCAGCTTCTAATGGCTGCCACTATTCCTTGTGGGTGTATTACTCCAATTTTTGCCCTGGTTTTCCTATGGCCTTCTCGTTGAGTCACTTCCTCTTCTGTCTTTAATTCAAGGCCCAAGTAGCCCAAAGCGGCTGAGTGGGAATCTTAAATTCTGATTCAATGAAATCATTGTTGGGTCTCTTAAAAGTACACTTGTCTTTGGATTTAGGGACCACTCAGATAATGCAGGATAATCTCATCTAGAAATTCTTAACTAATTACATCTGCAAAATTTTTTTCCAAATACAGTCACATGCACAGGTTCTGTGTTGAGTAAGTGAGCATATCTTTTGGAAGTCACCATTCAACCCAGTGCAGGGTGATGAATGGTTTAACAATTAGATCCACCTGCTCTTAAAGAATCTCAGCTAAAGAATCACTGAGGTGCTTTTAGCTCAAAGTCAGGAGGTCAGTGGCCAATGCTTAATCCCAAAGTTAATTTCTCCAAACCCTGAGAGCAAAACTATAAAAATTTACAAAGAAAAATATAAAAGAGTTCAAATTCTATGGTGAAGGTTCAATACAAATAAAGAGTCCCAGAAGAGTTATGCGGTCTCTGAGAATGAAAATAGAATTGTGTTTAATGCAATGCATGGGTTATAAAAGACTAGGGGGAGGCTTGTCACGGTCGTTCATGTCTGTAGCCTTAGCACTTTGGGAGGCCTAGGTGGGTGGATCACCTGAGCCCAGTAGTTCAAGAGCAGCCTGGGCAACATGGTGAAACCCCTTCTCTACAAAATACAAAAAAAATTAGCCAGATGTGGTGGCATGCAGCTGTAGTTCCAGCTACTGTAGAGGCTAAGATGGGAGGATCGCTTGAGACAAGAGAGGTCAAGCATGAGCAATGATAACACCACTGTACTCCAGCCTGGACAACAGAGCAAGACCCTATCTCAAACAAAAAGATGGAGGGACATAATTGAAGACCTAAGAGAAGAGTTCAAATCTAAATAGGTACTCATCCAATTATATATCAAATTTAATATTTTAAAAGTTGAAGTAATATTATATATAAACATATTTTCGTGGACATACATGCAAAAAATGTATCTCCAGAATGTGAAGGAAATGTTAATGAAAACACTTGACTTAATAAAAATATCATTTCCAGCTACCTCACTAAAGCTTTCTAGAAGTGTGTTACTCTGTATTTACCAGTAGTCATGAGTATCAATCTAATATAGAGCTCTGGTGTCTAGGTCTCAAACTTTGCTTACTCTCAACTGTAGCTCTCACGGTGAGGCCCATTCTTAATACCTCCCAGCTGTCACAGGACTACTTATTATTACTGTTTCCTTCCCTTGCTTCTTCAGCCCTAAGAGTAGTATGGGCTTACAGCTGTCTAAATCTCTGGGTACTGCAGTTTTCATTTTCTCTCCATTTAACCCTGTTCTTATCTCTGTAAGTAGTCCCTTAATTAAAACCTCTGTATTTTAAATATCCCAGATTGTTTTTTTTACAACCAGACCATAACGGATACAATGATTTGCTAGTATATGATAGTATAAGCGTAATAACAATAAAGCTAAAATCACTCAAAAGTTTTGTTTGGGATTACATATAAGTAGGGTACTCAATTATATAAGCAAATATTATTTTTCTTTTAAATCTGAGTACAGTTGGTCTATATTTTAAGATCTTTGAAATGTCTTAGAGACTCAGCTATTTTAGAATTTAACTTAGCAGTTTAAAATGTTTTAAGGAAATTGAATTAAGTTTGCAAATGGTATTAATTGTTCAGTGGAATTTAATCTTTCAAACATAATTGAATAGCAGTCAAAGAACAAAAGGAACTGAGTACTATTAATTTTGAAAACATACAAGATTATAGGAAAAATCACTAGATTTATGGCAGGCATTTAAAGTTACAAAGGAAAATGGGTTATTATATTCATAATCTTTCTTGATGCTCATAATCTTAAAAAACTGACTATTGATTAAAACACACAAAAACTCCCTTAGATATTAAATACTCATATGATAAAATGTAAGTGTTGCTATACATCTGTCCTAATAGTCAAAACTCCTCTAAAACCTTTATTAATATAACTGTAATATTAACAGTAAAATTAAATAATATAGGGAAAAATACATTTTGAAATGTTCTTCCCCTTTTAAAAAGATATTTAAACATCCTGATGACTTTTAGATAAACTAAATGTTATATTGATGAAGAAGTTAAGCAGAATCATTTAAATCAATAATATAATTTTATCATCACATTGTAATCTCCATTGTTTATTAATCTGTTCAAGATAAAGTAACAAGGAGACCCTTTATTGCTAAAATGATTCATCCATTTTCTAGAGCTCATTAATTGCTCTGGCAAGTTTTCAGCAATGGAGCTAATATGTTCCTGATTATCTGGCTACACTGACTCTTCAGGCTTTAAAATAGCTTTGCATTTTGCAGGACTGTGAACAATCTTGTCAGACCTCTTTGATTTGTCTCCTTTTTTAACTGGCAGAAAAAATGCCTCAAAAAAGACATTTGTTTCTCTGTTCAGAGCAGCAGCTTTGATGAGTATAAGAAGGTAAAGCTTATATTGTTATTTGTTACAAATTGGTCATTGAGACATTTTAGTGTTTGTGAATACAGTAATTTACATTTTTCTGATCTTTCAGAATTAATATTCCATGCTTATTTTATAAAACTTCTTTTAATTTCTTTTTTGTGTGATTTTTAGTAGGAAAACAATGTTTAACTTTCTCTGTGAGATATATATGATGGAATTCTACTCAACCATAAAAAGGAAGAAAATAATGGCATTCACAGCAACCTGGATGGGATTGGAGACTATTATTCTAAGGAAAGTAATTCAGGAATGGAAAACCACACATAGTATGTTCTCACTCATTAGTGGGAGCTAAGCTATCAGGATGCAAAGTCATAAGACTTTGCACAATGAATTTTGGGCTCTCAGGAGGAAAGGGTGGGAGGGGGGTGAGAAATAAAAGAAAAAGTTGGAAAAAAATATTTAACTTTATGTGTATTTTCATTGGTTTAAATATTCTATTCAATTTATGATTTTTATTAATATTCTTATTTAGCATTAAAATTTCAATTAGTTTTTGTTACTTATTAATTTTATGATGTTTTCAAAATTTTTATATTCTGTTGTAAGTTTTAATTCTCTTATTCTTAATTTCCTAATTTCTCTTAAGCACTTAATTCGTTTAATTTCACATATTTATATTTTATTGTTATATTTTCTTTTAAATTAGAATAAAACTTTTCATTTACTTTGTTTACAGTTTATCTTTTAAAAATAAATGTCTTTAATGAGTGAACTTACAAAGAATAGAAAGATGTATTCCTCTGTAATGGGCTGCATAGTACTCTCCCAAAGATACCACACTCTAATCCCCCGAACCTGTGAATAAGTTACTCTATGGCAAAAGGGACTTTGCAGATATATTAAGATATGGATTTTGAGATATTTGGACTATCCAGGTGGGTACAACCTAATCATGTGTCTCCTTGAAAGTGATGAGGAAAGCAGAAGTGTGGATCAGAGAGAAGAAATGAGAAAAAGAGATTCAAATATGGAAAGGACTCAACCTGCCCTTCTAGCTTTTAAGAAGGAGGAAGGGAAACATGAGCCAGGGAGTAAGGGTTGTGCCCAGAAGATGGGAACAGCCTTCATTTGTCAGCTGGCAAGGAAATGGCAACCTCTGTGGAGACCTGTGTTGCACTTTATACTACACAAATGTGTTGTGCATTGTTACACATTGTGTTGCACATTGCACCTGTGTTGCACATTATACTACAGAAATGTAAAATAATAAATTTTTGTTGTTTCAAGTAATTGAGTTTTGGAAATTCTTACAGCAGCAACAGAAAACTAATGCATTCTTTAATATTTTATTTTCATTTTTATCATACACATAGTATAAAATAAATAATATAGAAAGATTTATTTAAAAACAAGCAAACAAAACATTCCAAACCCCACCTTCCCAGTACGTGCCCACATTATCAGGTCCCAACTCGCAAAGAGAAACTCCTTGACATTTTTCTGTTTTTCTTTCTCCCCTTTACAGGAAGAACAACTTTTTTAGATGAGGGAGGGTAATTCAGACTGACATTTGTTATAGACACATATAAAATAGGAGTTTTGCTCAATTTACTATACTACATTACTCTTCCCCTTTTACAATTTTAATTTATCTTGGTTATCACAATGTTTTCAAATAACACAATGAAACCTCAATTATTACTTTTTAAATTTTAGGTGGAGTTTCTTGACTCCCTTCTTTATTAGGTTTTCTGATAGAGTCCTCTTAGATATTCATGAAACGTGTTCCACTTTGTTCTGGGCCATATGTCCGAATAAAACCCCCAACCCCTTGCATTTAAATGTGGCCATGTGATGAGTCCTAGCAATGGACCAGGAGTGGAAGTTTGCATCACTTGCAGGATTTACTTATGCATGCTTCCCATGCTTCTGTTCTCTTGCCTTCTACCATCTAGTTGTAGGAGAGTATCCTGTTAATGGAAAACTAATTTGGAACAGAGTGGCAAGATAAAGAGATGTTGGGTTCTTGAATAACATCTCATTTTTGACTTTACAAGAATAAGAAAAAAGTTTATAGTATGTTCGAGCCATTATATATTTCAAGGAATGTTTGTTATAGTAGTTTACATTGTCTTGCTGATACTGGATTACATTACTACCTCTAAACATTCCCCTCATCTCTCCTTTTTCTGGAGGAAAGATAGTAGTGTAGATAAACAGTGGACCAGAGAAGAGAGGTCAAGAGAAAATTTTCTGTGTTTCCTAGAACTTGCCATTTTATGCCTCTATTTCAAAAGCCCAAATCTTTTCCTGTCCTTTGACTCTTCAAACTGGCCTTGTTATTTACAATACACATCTATTTTATATCTTAACTAACAAAGCAAGCAATTATTTGATGCTTGTGACCAAAAGTTGCAAATAGTATGATAGGAAAACATTAATATTTTATAAAGGTATGTTACCATTTTATGATTTTATGAGCTAATTAGGGATATGTAAGCCATTATGTTTCAATCTCTCTTTTTTATTCTGTATTGAATGTAACAGAACTCAGAACAAAGTAGTTTACTTTTGTAGCAACTATAGGCTTTCCCTTCATTTTGTCACCTTATTCTCTGATCATTGAATACTCACATTTTGTAATTTATGCCATCTCAAATACTTTATTCAATAAGAAAGGACATAAATAAATATGATATCCATTTCTACATTACTGTTATTCTAAGTTATAATTACAATTACAGAGTGTGATCATTACTACTTCTGTATTTTATATTATGTTATTAATGATTAAATATAATTATGAGATAAAATATTAATTGTCATATCCTATTTCTCAGAACGCTGTCTCTGGAGAAGTGTTTTAAGAGTTTTTGCTAAATAACAGTTAAATTACCTAATGAATAACTTCATAATTCTCTGATAAATTGGTTTCTCTATATGAAATTATATGAAAGAAAACTTATGAAATATATTTGATACTCTATTATTAAGTAAATTTCATAGTATTATATTATGTGTAAAAATCCAATGCTAGTAATGTCCTCAGTGTAAGAAACACACACACACACACACACACACACACACACACACAAAATCGAAGTTGAAGAAAAATGTTCAACCCTATATCTTACTACTAAATTGTTTATCCAATAAATCCAAATTCTTGTGGTATATATTCAAGTCAAAATTAATTCTATATGTTAACTCATTAATTTTTTTAATATTATGCAAATTTTATACCAGAGACCAGTCAATATTTTTCATAGTCCTTATATTAAAAACTGCTAAGTTTTAGGCTTAGCAAACCCTTTTCTACATATAGCAGAAAAAAAATACAAAAATTTGTTAGTAGCTTTTCAGCAGCAACTCATTTCGCTATTTGTTCTGTATTGCTGTAAGCAACAGTTTTTTTCTTTACCGTAACCAATTTTAAAGCACTTAATATAATCTATTGTGTTACAATGCATATTTAGTTCATTTGTGATTGGTAAATAGAGAAATGCACCTTACTGGTGTTTTACCGGTTTATACATGATTTTTTCTAACATGTCACTCTGGTGTGCCACTAAGTAGTAGAAGCTAAATGCAAAACGTATTAGCAAAATAGGAGGCAGCAGGAGACAAAGAGCTAGAGTGCTGTGCATAACACCATACTCTCCGTGTTCTTCCTGTTGGCTACCTAGACTTGTGAGTCTTGCTTTTGTTTCCATTACTTAGTAACCACAATTCTTCCTTACACTCTATTACTCTATCTTCATCTTTCTATTATTTTAAAATAAAGTTCTGTGTTTCTGTAGTATTCTTAATGACTTATTAGGAACTTAAAACTTTCAAGCTATGTTTTTGATAGAGCTTTAGTTACAAAGCTGCATTTGTTTTGAATTAATTGCCCCAATTTTATTTTCTCATAGTCTCTTTATAGTTAATGTCAGAGTTTACAGAATGCATATATCATATTATAAAAGGACACATCTAATTTCTTAGCTTTTGGTACTGAATTGCAAACCATTCTCTGTACTTGAGATGTCTAGAAAATACATCGATTACTGCTCTTATTATTACTGTACTACCGTCACCAGTACTATCTCCAACTATTATTAATTGTACTACTATTACCATTACCACGACCTCCAATACCTATTATCCACTGAGTCACTATGTTATTCTAGGTATGCTTGAGGTGCTTTAAGACATTGTTCATATATTGCTGATATCAACTCTATAAGGTATTATTTTACAGGTGAAAGAATCAGTATTTAGAAAAGAAAATAATTTGCGAAATTATCACACAGGAGTAGATGAATAAACCAGGAATCAAAGTTTAATTTATCTCAAGTTAAATGCTGTACTCTTAAATATCATGATATATTGCTCTGTCAATTTCATATATTAGCCTCTGTAAATGTAAACACATAAGATTCATTTTGTAAATGGTATTAAAAATAACTATTATTAGTGCAGCACAGTGTCAATTTGAGCCTTATTTTTTCAGTCACTCTTCTGCAGAATTTAACAAAACCAAAGTGATTCAACAAGGTGGATTCATCAGCCTTAGAAGACTATTTGTATAGGGGCCAAGATTCATCCTAGAAATTTACTTAACTTGTGTATAGCAGTGACGTTTTGATATAATTCTCCACTGACATGCCCAGAAAACAGAAAAGAAGAACTAAGAGATGTGTATATGTGTGTGTTTTGTTAGAAAAGATGTTAAAGAATGTTTTTGGTTAGAACCCATTTTAGTGGAAAGGGGTCTAGTAGTGTTAAGCTTGACCCTTGGGAAATATTTTAGTTGTCTGAGAGAGCAGTAATTCTGAGTAGAACTTAGGTTATTTGAATTTGCACGAAGTAGAGCAGCTTTAGCACCTGACATGGGAAAGCAGTGGGGATTATGATAGTCTGGGACATCTAAGCCAGGTAGACCCACATAGCATACTGGTGACATATAGTGGTATAGTAGGTATACTGTGGAAATGGATTTGTTTCTGAGGACTACTGAGACATCATTAGCGATCTGGAGAAACTCTTACTGGTGTAGGTGGGCTGCAGGTATTTTACTAGAAATTTTATATGAACAGATGAAAAGACATGAAACAAAGGGAATTTGTAACCATTTATAAAGTTTTTAATATATTTCTATTGTCATTTAAATAAAATATTTTATTTCAGTGTATGATATAATCTTACTAATATCTCAAAAATATGAAAATAATATTAAGTGGTGGTTACAGAAAGATAAGTATTGTATCTTTAATTTCATTTTTATCAGAGAAAAAGTGATTTTAGTCTAACTTATTCACAATAGGGTTGAGTATTTGAGTTTTCTAACAATGTGTTCCAATATAATAATAAACTACATATGAATGGAATGAAGAATGGGAATGTAGTATAAGTCATGAAATTATTCAAGTCTTTTTCTTGTCCAAAAGGTAAAGAAAGAATAAAAAATACAACATTAAAATAAGTTTGGGCTTTTTGGTTTTCCAAACAAAAGTGTATTTAAAATACACTTTAAAATTTTAAAATTTTCTTTAGGAAATACTCTAACATTGTACAGTTTTTGTCCATGTGGCTACCCTTACTAAATTCACCTGTAAATAAACTCTCATGAAACTTACTTTCCCATTGTAAAGAATTTTAAAACTGAACCGAATGTATGAACATAAGCCCTCTTTTTAAAAAGCTATTAGACAACAAAACAGGACTGTGATCCTGGAACTCAAAGAAGCAAATCAAGTGAGCAGCACTCTCACCCTGGCAACCTTCTTAGGAACATTTTTCCAGACCGTGGCTTAGGAAGGTGGAACTCATGCAGCCAGCTGCAGTCTTGCTGAGCTGAAGAGGCAGAGATAACGTGCAATCTTGCTGAAGTAGTTAGAATATGTGTGGTGGTGCATATAAGAGAAAGCGGGCATTATTAGGAGGTATCTCCAGAAGAGTGCTTCAGGAATCTCCTTGGCTCTTTGGTAACGACTCAGCTGTGCATGTCAAGGACAAAGCCTTACAGGTCTCACAGGGAATACTTGATGCAGCCATTGGGATGATCAAAAGTACTGGGATTTTGTTGTGCTGGTATATGTTGGTGTTTCTCCCAAACCAGATTGAGAAGATCTTGCTGAGGACTTCAAGACTTCTAGATGAGAGTTCTGAAAGGTGAGACATTAAAATAAAGATTAAGCCCTAGACTGCAATTTCCTAATACTCATGAGAGAAAGACAATGAAATAAAAAGAAAATAAAAGAGTTAAACTGAGTCAGAGAAAATCAAGATGAATTTTAGTACTTTTAAATCCTGCTATTACAAAACTCAATTTTTAAAGTAAAAAAAAAAACCAAAATCTATGCTCTCTCAAATGCATCACTCAGAATGTCAAATAGACAATTAAAAATTATGAGATATGCAAAAATTCAGGAAGATATGATGCATGTGGAATAAGTAAAAAATCATCAACTTACTGTATACTTTCTCCCACACTCTTTGTTCCATGAATTTTTCATCTCTGGTAACTACAATGACTTGCTTATTGTCTGAGCCACACTTTGTTCCATTGTTCACAAAGGTAGTCAAGAGGATAGAAAATGGCATATGCTAAAATCACAGTTCAACTCTAAGTCTTAACCATTGTCTTCACTTCTAGCTTTTTTTAGTGAGTTTATTTGTTCCTTACATTTCAATTATCCTGCTATTGAAAAGATGCTACCTTCAAGAAACTCTCTTACAGAAACTAATATACACTTCTCTCATAAATATATTCTATATAAAATATGTAGCAAACCAATAAAAAAAATCCAAAATATGTTTGATACATTATCTGTGAAAGTGAGAACGATTTGTGGTAAGGTGAACACAGTAGACTCAGATTCCTGATCTTTAACTTGTTGTAGTAGTGAGATCTTGAAATTAATATTCAGTGATAACTTCAGTTCCTTTGGTCAATCTGATGGTTTGCAATACCCAGCTTATTTTCATTACATCTTTTTCTGCTAATATTTTCTGTTTCCCGCAATTCATTCTGATACAAATAGGACTAAAGACAAGTCTAACATATGTAGAATAAAGGGTTGCAAATTATTTAAACTGTTTGAATGGTATAGAGGTGTGGAAGTTCTACTGGTATTTGGGAAAATTTACTGCTTACTTTGTAACTGTCTTTTTGTTAATCATTTTAGTCTGTATCAATTTTTTTAATGGATAACCTTTTATACAAGGTTTTAAGATATTACTCTATTGATACCTGTGAGGAAATTATTTACTTATCAATACTTGTGAAATAGCAAGAATGCCTATTGAATATTAAAATTGCTCTTCTGCTCTTGAAAGCTAAGCATAGAAAAACATTTCACCACTGTAGTAATAATATTCTTGGATTATTTACCGAAATATTTAACCAGCAATAGAGGAAAATAGATATTTGTGAGTATCATGAAGCCAGAGTTTAGATTTTTTTAATGGTATCCTATAGCCAAAGCCTTTCTTGAAATGTCACCAATGATCACCCATTGCTTTGAATTTGTTTTCCCATTGTTATGAACTTGTTACCCTCATCCAGCTGTACTGACAGATGGTGGGTAACTTCCTTACTATTTTACCTTGAGTTACTGCCAAGTGAAACTCCAAGAGATTTGGGGTATTCATAAATACCACTGTGATGTACTAACATTAATATAACATTAGCAAGGTTTTTGAGTCCCTAGTCCATAGTATATTTAAGCTTAATATTCTTATCAATGTACTCATAAAATACAGTTTAGATTACATAGCTATTATGTCAGCAAATTATAATCAGAAAGCAATAAACAGGGGTCAGATGGGAGGCAGGGAATGTAACTAGTGTCCTATAGGATTAATCTTAAACTTAGAGTTTTATGCTTTCATCAATGTCTGGAATGATGGACTGGAAAGAACAAAAATTTTGATTGTAAATCATGCCACATTAGGCTATGTTTCACCTTGGATAAAAAAAATTAGTATTCAAAGTGTCCTTTATAAATATATATATAAAAGATGTGACTAAAATGGTGAAGGCCAGTACAATAACACTGATGGTGAAGGAACAACATACTCAATTCAACAACAGCTGTTGTTTCTTTGATATTATAAAAGAAAAAATATCGTAAGTCTGTAGAAGTCTACTATAGTTTTTAAAGAACCCAAATTTCTGAATAAAGTTAGTAATACAATTCAAAGTAAAATAAGAATTGTTTGTTATTAAGTACTCTCTTTACACATCTTCTTTTGATGAGAAAATACATTAAAGTACTGTATTTTAGAAGATTTACATGTAGATTTAAGCAAAGAACTAATGAAATAGGGAAGGCACACTAAGCACATGTGGCTGTCTTTCCCTTCTGTTTAAATGCAGAAGAATTTTTTTTTTTTTTTTGAGACAGAGTCTCATTCTGTCACCCAAGCTGGAGTGCAGTGGTGCTGTCATGGCTTACTGTGGCCTTGACCTTCTGGGTTCAAGTGATCCTCCTAACCTCAGCTTCCCAAGCTGCTGGGGCCATAGGCACATACCACCATGCCCGGCTAATTTTTCTGTTTCTTGTAGAGACAGGGTTTCACCATGTTGCACAGGCTGGTCTCAAACTCCTGAGCTCAAGCAATCTGCCTGCCTTGGCCTCCCAAAGTGCTGGGATTACAGGAGTGAGGCACCATGTCCAGAGAGAATTATTGTTTTTAATCTAATCCTGCTTGAATGAAAACTATGGTGATTCCATGAAAGATGGCAGTTGAAGGAGATTGTATTTAAGAATAATTCAGAGCCTAAAGTGTGCTGACATGAACTGAAGATTAAGAAAAAAATAGGTGTGATTCTAGGGCTATAGAGGTAGGTAGGTGTTATTGTTTTATATGCATATTTTTTGGAGTCAGAGTTTTTCTCTGTCACCCAAGCTGAAGTTCAGTGGCCCAATCATGGCTCACTGCAGCTTTAAATTTCCGGGCTCAAGTGATCCTCCCTCCTTAGCCTCTCGAGTAGCTAGGGCTACAGTTGCACACGAACATGCCAAGCCATATATCTTTTTAATTTTTGTAGAAATGGGGTCTCACTATGTTTCCCAGGCTGGTCTCGAGCTCCTGGCCTCAAGGAATCTTGCTGCCTTGGCCTCCCAAAATGTTGAGATTACTGGCATGAGTCAACCTGCCTGGCCAGGTAATATATGTTGATTCCTGAGGGGAGACTTTGGAGAATTTGTTGAGGTATCACATTTATTTTTATTTATTATATCTCTTCCATTTGGTTGACACAGAGCAGACACACCTTTCTCTCCTCCAAGTGGGGCACTTGAATCATAGAGAAGATAACCTACTGACTAAAACCAAGGAGGAAGGAATGAATATCAACACAACAGGAAAGTAAACAAGTGAAGAAGGAGAGGAAGAGTGCTCCAAGAAGAGAAAAGATACGTTAAAGGATCTTCCTTTCAGCTGATTAAACGGATCATCACACCCAGCAACAAGTCCGACCCTTCTTCCACAATTACTGGAGTCAAAAGTCAAGATATCCCTGCCCAGTTCAAATGTAACCTTATAAGAGAGACTATCTTTGCCCATTCAACCTAAGATAAGCCATTTCTTCCCATAACCTTTTATTCTATTCCATAATTTTAATTTCATCAGAGAACTTATCAGCATTTACACAATCTAGTTTACCTGTTTACACCAGATGCACACAAACCCATATACCACTCTAGGTATATCACACATGGGGTGTGTGTATCATGAAGTCATATTATTCAGTTTAAAAAAATATTTTTCTCCAAATATCAGGACATTTCTAAAATTATCACGATATTGGTGCAATTAAAATTAAAATTGACCATGGGAATTAAAAAAACACTAATAAAAACTTGGGTATCAATGACAAAACTATTAATGGGAAAAGCAATACATCATTTTAGAAAATTTCAAAATATTTATTTCAAAATATATGTGAGGCAGTAAACAGTACTTAGAGGGATTCTTGTAACCTGAAATGCTTACAAAAGACAAAAAGGCTAAAAAATAATAAGCTGATTTTTCAAAGTTAGATGCTAAAAAACCTAATTTTAAAAACTAAAAGAAAGCAGTAAGTAGATAATAAAAACAATGTTTTATGAGACAGAAACCACACAAGTGTTGTAAGTTATAAAGAATCATTAACTATTTACAAGGAATTAATTACTACTAGGGAGTAAAAAGAGAACTATGAGAATATTTTAGGGCTATGGGAATGAACCCAAGGAGGGAAGAATCATGGTAGAGGGTCTCCTTCTTAAGGCTGGAATTCAGGATCTATTGGAGAGGGTGCGCTTGGAGCCAACTCTGGAGAGCAGAGAACTTTGTCGGGTTGCCCCAGGCCTGGGTTGCCCTGCAGTCTGCAGGCTTATACTGTTGGTCAGGGAGCCAGGGGCTGGGGCTCCTCTCCGAGGGGTTAATGAAACTCATAAGGAAGGAGTCTTTCAAACTTGTTAGGAAGTCACCTGTGTAATGTGGCCAGGTGAAGTGCAGTAGGGTAGGAGGAGGACTGCTGAACTCAATACTGGGAAGCTAGCGAGGGCACCCATGGAACTTATAGTGAAGCTACCTGCATTGGTATTGCTAAACATGCTGAGGGTGAGAGTCACTGGGTGTCCCACACATCAACCAAACACCTTCTAGAACTGGAAGCTAGAAAGCACACCAGAATCTGCAAGATAATGCCTCTTTCATCTGAAGCATCTCTCCTGTGCCCTCTGTTCATAGGGCTTTGAGACAGCCGGGAAGAGAGAGATCTGGCAGTATCACAAGAAGGACAGTGAAGACTAGATTTGGGCTAAGAGGTAATAGATGGACAACTAGCTTGAATAACAGCAATCAAGAAAACAGATAGAATAGAGAGGATAAACAGAGCTACAACTTGCGTCTCCAAAAAATGCTAATAAAATGCCAAATTTCTAGCAAGATTGATTAAGATAACTAGGGAAGGAAGAAGTAAATACAAATGAAAACATTTACAAAAAGAGAAGTGATAAAACCATGCAAGAACGTAGAAAAGTATATGCAGATGCATATGAAACCATGGATTAAATATTCAAATGTCTAGAACAAATAAAATATAAAATTGATTGAAAAGAAAATTAAAGGAAACAATAGTTAACAAATTTAATAAATAGAACACTGGGTGTTGATCAATAGACACATCTTACCAAAATCTCAAGGAATGGACTATTGTTATACAAACTCCTTTAGGCAACTGGTAAAGAGGGTACATATAGTCAAACTCATCATATGAAGTGAATTTTAACCTCATAGAATAAATGGTTGTAACTTAGTATACCTTTGTAGTGTTTTGTTAAGGGAAAACTGAAATCCTATCTCACTCATAATAATAAATACAGATGCCATAATCCTTAAAAATATTAGCAACTGGAATGTAGCAGTGTTTTTAAAATAAAATTTTAAATATTTAAAAATATTTAATACACCATGACAAAATTGAGACTATAAAAGGAATGCAAGAGTATTGTAACATTTGAAAGTTATAAATGCCACTGCCACATTAATAGCCTAGGAAAAAAATAATACAATCATCTCATAGTTACAAAAAAAAGATTTTCTAAAATTCAATATATTTCATAACAATACAGCAAGCCTTAAATGTAATAAATAATATATTTTAAAAATTAATAGCAAACATAATTGAGAATCTTAGAAAATAATTTATTTGAAAACATGGAATATAACACAGTTGATATTATTACAGGTTCTAGTCTACATCGTACTCAAGTTCCAGCCAAAGGAGTATAAGAAAGAAAATAAATCAAAAGCAAATAATCATAGGGAGAGAAATAAAACTAACATTCTAACTGGAAAATTCAAAAGATGTATAGACTCATTATTTGAATAATGAGAATTTATCAATGTGATTAGTTATAAGAAGTATTACATAAAAATCAGTTGCAATTTCATATTGCAAGAACAAGGTGTGAATTTTAAAATGTACCTTTTTAAAAAAATCTATAGATATTATTTGACAGATATGAATAAATATAAAAGTAAACATAAGTAAAATATTAAACAGCAAAGATATTTACAAAGTTCTAAAACTGGGAAGTTTAGCTCATATTCTTAGAAAATAGGATTTTAGTATTGTAAATATATTAGTTATTTTCAAATTGATTAAAGGATTCAACATAATTTTAAGAAAGATTTAGTAGTATTTTTAACAAAACTTTAGTAAATGGATTTTCAAATTTATATGGAAGAGAAGTTTCTAGAAAAGCAAAATTACTTACAATTTTTTTGAGAATTTTGTATATGAAGCTATAGTAAATCAAAGAGTGTTGTACTGAAACTGAGATGAACAAGTTAACCAACTAGGTGTAGAGAAAATATGAAACTAGGATATGATTGTACGGGATTGTTTGACTAAGGCAAATTGGTAGAGAAACTAGGGATTATTTGCCAAATGATCCTGGGACAATACCTTACATATATAATACATTTAAAAAATAGTAAAACAAATTAGTTCCCTAAAATGGCTCAAATGTACATATCAATTCCAGATGGATTAAGAACTTAAATTTGAAAAAGTGAAACTTGAAAAGTTCTAGAAGAATATATAGGAGAATATGAGGATAGCTTCTAACTTTGTAGTAGAGAATTTCTCACATAAGATAAAAAATGCAGACTTTACAAAAAGTATGGATACATTTTATTACCTTAAAATTAAGAAGTGTTAATTAAGATTTACAAATTAGAGATGAAAGTCACAGGAGAGTTGACAAGGGTTTAGTATAAAATATATAAAGAGCTACTATATATCATTTAGAAAAGAAAAAAATTAAATTAAAACCAATAAAATTAATGCAGACATTTTACAATGGAGCAAATATGTATAACCAACCAATATGCTTTTAAAAAGATTTATTAATAATCAGAAGAATAAACATGTATAAATTATGCCGAATGGATGCATTATTAATAACAAGAAAAACAAAAACATATAAATTATGCTCAGTAGATTGCCAAAAATCATATAGTTTGATAATAGAAAGTTAGTGAGAGGATTTTCATTCACTGGAGCTTCTGCATATTGATTTATAAAATTGGTGCAACCATTTTAATAATACTACTGTAAATTCAAGTACTTACATAGCCCTTTTGCAGAAATGT
The DNA here is from genome assembly GCF_000001405.40 of Homo sapiens. Lineage (NCBI taxonomy): Eukaryota > Metazoa > Chordata > Mammalia > Primates > Hominidae > Homo > Homo sapiens. Next base: position 193,354,917 of record NC_000002.12, on the reverse strand, counting down.
TGTCACTTGACTTTCACTCCCCATAATGCACTATAGCACCAATATTTGCAAGAGCCAAACATTGGAAACAACCCCAGTGTTCATCATTTCAAATCAACAAGCTAATAGGTATTAATTCACATATGTCTGTTAAAATAAACTGCAGCTGCATGCGAAAGCATGGGTGTATATAGGGAACTCTATAATGTATAAGTGTGTGTGTGTGTGTGTGTGTGTGTGTATGGTATCTGTTATATATAAAAATATATATGGTAAATAAGCATATATAGTAGACATGTATAATAGCATAAGTATACAGTATGCGAGTATATATATATTGTATAAGAATATATATGGCATATAGTATGTAAGGCATATAAGAACACTATAGTATGAAACCATTTTTATTCAAAATCTAAGACAATAGCATGTTGTTTAGACACATTAACATGTTTTATATATTATAAGTAATAAAAAATTAAGTAAAGTAATAATAAACAATACAAAACTCTAGACAGTGGGTACATAGGAAGATGCAAATTATTGATAATGTCTAGTGGGTCCCCATATGCTCATTTTACTAAACATACCTACATAAATATTTGCTTAAATTATACAAGTCTAAATATGTATATGTTCAAATTATATGTATTTGTATATCTTACATAATTATATATCATAAAATTACATATCCTTTTGAAATATTCAAATAAATATAATAAATAATTTTTAAAATTGTTACTCATTTTATAAAACAATATGTTCACTGTTATTAATTAAACAATAAAGATTATCTATTTAAATAATTTACCCAAAGAGTATATTTGTCCAATATTTTCCAAAACCACATCTGATGTTACCAGTGATAACACTCTTGACTGCCTCCTTGACTCTTTTTTTGTTAAACAAAGATAAAAAATATGATCTTATTTTTAAAAGCAAGAATATAACTTTACTACATGTGTAATATACGGACTTCAAGCTTCAGTGTTGGGCAGAGATGCACACAATCAGCTCTGCAATGATAATAACATAGTATAAAAAATTTTCCTTGAAAGCATATAGAACTTCTCAATTCCTTTGTAAAGCACGCAATTAATTCATAGTATAAATATAATAACACTATAGTCATGTCTATGTTGATGTACACTGCAGTTTTTTTCAACTTAAAATGTTTGATTCATTTTGATAATAGCATTTTTATTTTGCATTGATTATAGGATCAAATAACATTGGCACTTTAACATAAAAATAATGTACATGTTTTTCTAAAAGATAGTGGCAACTTAGATTCACCTATAGCAATTTATATGAGTAAAATTTCCTATATTGTCTGTCACAGGTGGATATCATGAGTAAAGTGTATTACAACTTTATTTTGTCTTTGATTCATAATCTAAAATTTTAAAAATTTATTGAGAAAAATTCTGTGCCTTATCAGGTGGTCTAACTTGGTGAATGTTGTATATGAATATGAGCAGAATCTGTATGCCACTATTCATGGATGGGCTATGAATTACTGAGAGAGAGGAATTATAATTTCCAATTATTATTATGTATGTTTGTGTTTCTCCCTTTAATTTCATTAATTCTTGCTTTTTTTATTATGAGGATATACATTTAGGATTGAAATTTATTCCTGGTGAATTGACTTTTGTTGTTAAAAAAATCCTTCTTTATCTCTAGTGCTTATCTTCCTCTCAGTCTATTGTGTTTGATATTAAAATTGCCACAATCTTCTCGTGGTTAGTATTTACATGATATATTATTTTGTATCTATTTGTTTTTAAACTGCCTGGTTGGGCAGGGTGGCTAACGCCCGTACTTTCAGCACTGTGGGAGGCTGAAATAGGAGGAGGATAGCTTGAGGCCAGGAGTTCAAGGCTAAAGTGAGCTATAATCACACCGCTGGACTCTGAACTTCAGCCTGGGTGACGGAGTGAGACACTGTCTCAAGATAAAAAACAAAACAAAAAAAAAGAAAGAGTCTATTTATTTATTTATTGAGACGGAGTCTTGCTCTGTCACCCAGGCTGCAGTGCAGTGGTGCAATCTAGGCTCACTGCAACCTCCGCCTCGCGGGTTCAAGCAATTCTCCTGCCTCAGCCTTCTGAGTGGCTGGGATTACAGGTATGCGCCACCACACTTGGCTAATTTTTGTATTTTTAGTAGAGACGGAGTTTGACACCAGGCTGGTCTCGGACTCAAGATCATGTGATCCACCCACCTCGGCCTCCAAAAGTGCTGGGATTACAGGCCTGAGCCACCACACTCAGCCAAAAGTGTCTTATTTTTAAAGACTTCGTGTGTGTGTGTGTGTTTGTGTGTGTGTGTAAATTGGATGTAGTTGGATTATGTTTTGCAGGGTTAATTGCAATCTGATTCTTATAATTGTTGTTTTCAGATCATTTATATTTAATCCAATTTTGGCAATATGTAAGTTCACATATTTTTGTTTGTTTTAAATTTGTTATATCTGTTTTTTTCCTCCATGTTTCCGTTTCTGCCTCCTTTAGATGAACTGAGTATATTTTTAGTTTCCTATTTTCCATCCTTATATTATTATTTTAGTTATGCCTTTCTGTGTCTTTATGTGTATTTGTGTGTGTATTTTAGTACTTGTTACAGATATATCAGTATGGATATTTATAACTGTGACATATTCTATTATTTCTTGAAGAATTAGGAATTTTACAATAGTAAATTTTTAACTACTATTCCACTATTTTTTGCTTTTATTGTCAAATATTTTCTTGATAAACCCTTATACCCCGCAACACATTATTTCCATCTTGTATTTAAGTAGTCACTAGTCATTTAAATAAATATATAAGCTATACACACATGGATATGCATATATGTGTGTGCATGTGTGTGTTTGTAGTGTGTGTGTGTGTTAAAAAAAATTTAAAAGGCCAAATGTAGGTACAAATTTACTTACATTTGTACCCCTTCAAGTGTTTATCATCCCTTTGCTCCCAAATGGGGTTTCATTCTTATTTTTATTTTCTTAAGGCTAAAAGTTTTCTTTTAGCATTTTTCATTTTAAAGGTCTGCTGGAGACAAACTTTTAAAATGTCTTTATTTCACTATTTTTTGGGGGGGTGTTGGTAGGAAACTATTTTGCTGGCTATCAAAGAATTATCTTTCTATTAAGCACTTAAAATATATTATTCCATTTTATTCTAGTCTTTATTCTTTCTAATGTGAGATCAACCACCTTTTTTTTTTTCTGACTGATTTCATGACATTTTCTTCATTGTCGGCTTTCACCAATTTGACTATGATTTTTCTAGATACCGCTTTCTCCTTCTCCTTTCTGCTGGATAATTGCCAAATTTTTGCAACTGTGATTTGATGTCTTCCATCAGTTTTGGAAAATTATTGGGAATTATATCTTCTATATTCATTTTGACTTTATTCTATTTCTCTTCTCCTCAGATACCAAATATGCATATGTCATGTTAGGCCATTTGCTACTGTTCCACAAATATCAATCTTTTTGTTTGCTGGTTTGTTTTGTTTTACTCTTTATTGTATCAATATTTTTTATTGATCTGTCTTTATGTTCATTAATTTGTTCCTTCGCTGGATCTACTTGTTGATAAACCTCTCACAAGAAACCTCCATTTGTATTTTAATTCCAGCACTAAGGTTTGTCTCTTTTGAAACTTGCCATCTTTCTAATGTGATTTCTGGTCAGTTCATGTGCCATGTTGTACATGTTTTATTAGATCCCTTAACCTTTTAAATAGCTGCTGCAGCTCTTATTTCAGTAATAATAATTCCAGTATCTCAGCCGCATCTTGTATTAACTAATTTCATCTGGAAAATGAGTCTCACTGTTTTGCTTCTATAAGTGTCTCACGATTTATAATTGAACATCAGATATTATGTATAAAGGAATATTGGAGAAAGAAAAAGTGGTATTTTTTTTCCAGAAGAGGGTCATGTTCTTTTTGTTGTCAGGCCACTAATGTCAATATAGTCTGTAGATGAGTTGGGTTTTCACTGTGTTGTTACTCTAGTTAGATGCAGTTTATTACAGGCTTCAAATAATTTAACTGTGAAACTAGAAACTGTCTTTTAACAAGGTTTGAGAACTGAGTATCTACAGGTTTGCCCCTTTCTCCTGCCCTGCTTTTAACCTTTATAGATCCTATATACCAGTGCCTCTGGAAGATTTCACTCTGCTCTTATGACTATACTAGTCACAACAAGTCAGTTCTTGAAGATTATTCTCCTTCATTTTTCCACCACACCCTCGCGTTTGAGCAGCCTGTTGTAAATTGTGCCTTGAGCTGGGGGTGAGGTTTCTCTTAGCAGTTTGTCTTCAGTCTCAGCCACAGGCTGATTCTGCTTCATGATCATTGTAAGACCCTGCATCTGTCTTCTCTGATGCCCTTCCTCAGGTTAAATGGTTCCTGTCCCAAGCTCAGTGATAGGCCCAGAGGGTTTCTTTGTTTTTTGACACCTCTTTCACACTTTGGAGTTTTCTTGCCCTCCCCTGGCTATGAGAGACCACTGTTTCATGACATTCTTGATGGCCCAAAGGGCTTCTCTCAGTTCCCCTGCCCTGATCTTGTGAGCACTCAGGAAAAGGCTTAGAAAGAATTGATGGGTGGGTATTGACTCTCTTTGTGTCTGGGTTCCTCGGTATTATAAACCATTATGCCAACTCACACTTAGCCTTTTAAAATTTTGAAAATGTTCTATCTTCCTTCCTTCATCTATAGCAGCTTTCTTTACTCCAGCTATTGGGCCGTGGACAAAAGCAGCCAGAGGGCTCTTTGCTTCCAAGGGTGCCTCATCACTTTGAAATGTTTAGTTCTCTGACAGGCTTAAAAGCATGATTTTTGTAGGTAATATGACTTTTCTTATTCTTAAGCCAGAGCAAATTTGTCTTGTGACTTTCTGTACTAGAAATGAAAGCGGTGGAAGTCCTGGTCCATGATCTCAGAATGCACTCTGACAAACTGACCTCATTAGCTAGTTATTTCTCATTATTTCCATTTCCTTGTGTTATTTAAAAATGGTCTACTAAGAACTACTAGCAGCTTAAACTAGCCAATGGCAGAATATAGTCAGTATAACATAGCATGAAACATACAAAACAATTACAGGTTATGACATTCATTTGTAACTAGAACAGTTGCACAGTCATATTCTCCATATACCATAGCCTTTTAATACTTAGCTTAGATGAAACTCAATGATTTAACTATTGCTGGAAACAATCTCTTTCTTGCTGAATTTATTTCCTGAATTCATATTTGCATCTTTCTGTGTTGAAGTGACATGTATATGTGATTCTTCCTTGCATCAGATTATAACCCCATTAAAATTAAGGGTTATTTTATTCACCTCTCTATACTGATTGCATATCATGGAAACTGGCATCACTGATTAAATATAATTATAATATGCTCTAGTTTACTCTAGTTGGCAAATGTTGATACACTTATACATCATTATGTCCAATTTTTTTCTGATATATATAGATATATAAATTTTTTAAAGATATTTTACATGGACTGGAAAATTCACTATTCAGAGGAACCATATTGAGAAGGACTTCATTGCTTGAAGAATCTATTTACACAATGAAAATATATTCCATTGATAAACACAATTTGCGTTCAAACTTTACACACAATTTTTTTTTTTTTTTGAGATGGAGTCTTGCTATGTCACCCAGGCTGGAATGCGGTGGCACGATCTCAGCTCACTGCAATCTCTGCCTCCTTGGTTCAAGCGATTCTCCTGCCTCAGCCTCCCAAGTAGCTGAGATTACATGCGTGCGCCACCATGCCCAGCTAATTTTTGTATTTTTAGTAGAGATGATGTTTCACCATGTTGGCCAGGATCGTCTCAATCTCCAGACTTCTTGATCCGCCTGCCTCAGCTTCCCAAAGTGTTGGAGTTACAGGCGTGAGCCACTGTGCCAGGCCAATATTTTTCTAAAAATTGTTTATACACATAAAGGCATTTTAAGAAAATTTTTAAATCTGTTTTGTTTTTGGTTTTTTGTTTACAGAAATAAATTGTATACAATTTCAAATACCATAACATTAAAAAAGCAAAGCTGTTGCTGCGGTTACTAGCTGAAAGTGTCAGACCTTTTTCTCTTAAACTCTCAGGATCTCTCTGTCTCTGTCTCTCTCTATATATACATATACATACATATTTATATACACACACACACATATATACACACAACTATTTTTCTTCCCAAAAGCAGACTGCTTTCAAATATATTAAAAGTCAGATTAAAGAAGGAGAAGGAAAATACTTTTCTCTGAAAGAGAGATAATAAGTACCTGCCAGGAAAAATAGAGAATTGAATTGAATTGAAATGAAATGAAAAAAAAAAAAGTCAGTAACTTTGAAAGGGTTTCTTCAGTCCAGCTAACCATTCTTCTCATCTTCTGTCACTATAAAATGTTTTGCTGAAAAGAGAGGAGCTCATGATAATTTGCATTTGTATTACTCTGTGTGAAGGCTGTTGTGGTTTTGGATTGCAGGAGAGGTCCAGGTGAGACTACAGGAAACCTGTTCAGTTTATTTTCATCCTAGGAAGCATCTTTATATCTTTCTCTTCCTAAATATCAGAACAGCACTAAGGAAAACTTCTAAATGACTCCATGAGAGAAAAGGAGACTACAAAAAGCCCGCCCACTGCACCCTCCATGAGCTGCAGCCTCTGTGGAACGGTACTGAAATTCATTTCAATAATATTATATGCTTAAAAAATAAAAAAGTAGAGATTCCAGTAAAAACTTCCTTTGCTTTCTTCCCAATATAAGTTACAGAGAAACCACTCTTACCTCTCTGTTATCCCTGAACCCAAATGTATAATCCAAATATGTCCTATTTACCATACATCCAATTAACTATCTCTTGAGATGCATGCAAAAAATAACTCCATGGAATCCAAGGAGACAAAAATCATCACTCTGTTCTATGTTCTGAGATTTTTTTTTTTAATTGGAAATGTCAGAGGCGTGTGAAGCAGAGTAACTCCATCTTAAATAGGAGCTGGGTAAAATGAAACTGAAACCTACTGGGCTGCATTCCCAGACGGTTAAGGCACTCTAAGTCACAGGATGTGATGGGAGGTCAGCAGAAAATACAGGTGATAAAGACCTTGCTGATAAAACAGGTTGCGGTAAAGAAGCCGGCTAAAACCTGCCAAAACCAAGATGGCCACGAGAGTGACCCTGGTCGTCCTCACTGCTACACTCCCATCAGTGCCCTGACAGTTTACGAGTGCCATGGCAATGTCAGGAAGTTATCCTATATGGTCTAAAAAGGGGAGGCATGAATAATCTACCCCTTGTTTAGCCTATCATCAAGCCCTTGAGTCTACTCTGTCTTTGGAGTAGCCTTTTTTTTTTTTTTTTTTTTTTTTTTTTTTTTTTTTTTTTTTTTTTTTTTTTGAGGCTAGTCTCCCTCTGTCGCCCATGCTGGAGTGCAGTGGCACAATCTCGGCTCACTGCAAGCTCCGCCTCCCAGGTTCATGCGATTCCCCTGCCTCAGCCTCCCGAGTAGCTGGGACTACAGGCGCCCGCCACCACGCCCGGCTAATTTTTTTGTGTGTTTTTAGTAGAGGCGGGGTTTCACTGTGTTAGCCAGGATGGTCTCAATCTCCTGACCGTGTGATCTGCCCACCTCGGCCTCCCAAAATGCTGGGATTACAGGCGTGAGCCACTGTGCCTGGCCACCATTCTTTTATTCTTCTACTTTCTAAAAAACTTGATTTCACTTTGCACTATGGACTAGCTCTGAATTCTTTCTTGAGCGAGATTCAATAATCCTCCCTTGCGGTCTGGATCCGGAACCTTTTCCTGTAACTGAAATACATGGCTACCTCTTTTATCCCACCACTGTACTCTGGATATTTACTCAGCCCTTACCATACTTTATTGAAATGATTTGTTTATATATGCTTCTTATGCTCACCTTTGAGCTTCTTCATTTCTAGAATGGTGTTTTATTCATGTTTGAATGTATGCTATGTGTATCAGGCAACGTGTGGACACTGGAGATAGAGTGGTGAAAGGAACCTGGCCTCAAGGAATTTAATCCTGGCGAGATAACGGGATATAATTATGTCATTTGCTAAAGAATCCTGAGCATTTCTATATGCTGATTGAATTATTTTAAAAATACCTTTGAGTCGATTGATTTTTCCTTTTTAAATTTATATGAAGGATTGATTTGCAAATATTGAGGGAAAAAAGCCTTAACATAATAGGCACAGAGCATATGTAAATTTTAAACTAGTTACTAGAGCTTTCAAATCTGACCTACTTATATGCAGGTTTAATTTATAGGTGCCATATAATTTTTTTTTATTTGTAAATGTGATTCCAATAACATTATACCTATTTTATTTCAAACATATATATATATTTGACATCAGGATTTACTTCAAATCTCATTTCTCAAATCTTTAAAGCATTTTCAGATAGTCTCCCAAAATGTCTTTTTAACGGTAGGTATAACAAGTAATATGGGAAGTGTTGCCATGATTTTATGTCACCTCAGAAATGCTTTCTATGAGCTCTCAATTCTGAATGACACAAAATATTAGTTTTTTGGCAGGAAGAGATACAGGCATGTCACTGACATAGGGGAGCATAGTTTTATGCAGAAGTTCTAAGACTTGTGGACAAACTTTTACACTTTTTTATTGAAGCATCTCCATTTCTTAAATTATTTAGAATTAATTAATTTATATAACTAACAAAACATGAACTTTCCTATTATCTCAAATGCAAAGGGTATGGGCTTTATTTTAGATAAACTATATATACATATATGAGTTATATATGGGTTAACTATTACAGAAATACTAAATTTGATGGGGGAAATCATCCAAATATTAAAAGAGTCATTTTCAATTCCATTATCTAATTATATGTATTTAATGCACTTTGGAGATTAGAGAATGAGTCCCAGATCTAGCAATATATTACTTAAGGGTATTAATGTGTCACTTTTGACACATTTAAAACAGTACTGTTGCTTTACCTGAGTACCTCAAACCATCCTATATGTGACATTTAGTTACTTAATTTCCACCTGTTTTCAGATACTCCTTTGCTTTCCCTTATAAGCCAAATTTAATATGATATTGCTTATAAGGTCATAATGTCAAAACCTATTAATCTGGCGTTGCAATCAATTTATTATATGAGTACTTATTCTCATCTATGCTGAAATTTGTTTTTAAAACAACTTTTCAAATAATATAAGGTTAAAAACATTAACTCTCTGTGTCCGGCCATTCCACAGACATAAAGCAACAGCATGAATGAACCTGGAGGATATTACGCTGGCTGGAATAAGTCAGTGATAGATGGACCAACACTGTAAAATGACACTTACATGAGGTACATAAAATATAGAAGCAGAAAATAGAATGGTGGTTGCCAGGTGCTGGGGAGGGGGAAAACAGGGAGTCATTGTTTATTGGATATAAAATTTCAGTTCTACAAGATGAAAAAGTTCTAGAGATCTGTTGTACAACCAAGTGCCTTTAGTTAACAATATGCTACTATTTACTTACAAATTTGTTAGGACGGTAGAACTCATGTTCTTTCCACCAAAAAACAAACAAAACAAAATCACACATATGCACACACATCCAAAAACAAAACAAAAACACATAGAGACAGGAAACTTCGGAGGTAATGGAAATGTTTATTACTTAATAGTGATGATGGTATCAACCGTCACATGCATAGGTCCAAATTCATAAAATTATATACAATAAAAGTATACAGTTTTTATGATATATCAATTATACCTCAATAAAGCTGTTAAAAATCACTTGCATATTTGAGATCTCTTTAATAATTTGCTAGAGACTGCACAGATCAATAGTCTATCCTATTGACTTATTTAAGATGGTTTTTACTGCAACTTATATCTTTAAAGCTAGCAGACACCATAGATACACTGTAGCCTATAAATGTAGAACAGAGATCACCAGTTAGATGCTGTGCACAGATAAAATAAACTAAAATGTGTATGAAAGTTTTTAAATTGATTTAAAATATATACATGGCTAACTTTTCATGATTTTGAAGCAACTGGCATTAGCTGCTTTAGACAATGCTTGTAACACTTGGTATCTTTATAATCTTTCTTTAAAAAAATTTTTTTGGAAACATTGTAGAATGTAGTTAAAGTGTTACTTATTATGTAGTATATAATTTAAGTGTTAATTATTATAATGTTTTGAGTCTTAGATTTATTTAATAATTGTCTAATATAAAACTTAAATATAAATAAAATAAATAAGGAGAAAAAATCTGCTTTACCAAGTGATTCCAGGTAAAGAATTATCAATGTAAAACAAAATAATTCAACTTATCTCCACAGAATGGACTTTGAGCACTTAAAAAATCAACCTAACATGTATAAGTACATTTTAATGATTCTATTGATATTTTATCACCTATTTTGTAATAATTACATTACTTATTAGATAATCTAATGGAATAAATTAATGAATAAGTGGGAATATCATCTAACTGGTTGGCACATACGTAAAAATGAAGTTTAAAAACTGTAAAAATGAAGAAGCATGAATTGGGAGTCAATAGTGTTAGAATTCTGATTTCTAGAGAAGATTTGTGGAGAAAGTAAAAATAACATATAATGTTCCAGGCACAGTACTTAGTAAAATATGTACTAAATAAATTATAAACATTTTCATATTACTAATGATAATAAAAAATACTATATTCGGAAGCATCTTAAAACTCAGTCTCTGCGGGTTACAATAAAGTTCCAATGCAGTATTATTCTAAATAATATAAATAAATTTAACTCTCAGAATCAAACTTACTAACTCAACAGAGCCCAAGAAACTGAAAAGCATGAGTCAACATAATTACTTGTTAATAATGTAATTACATATTGGAGAAAGAATCAATTTATTAAGTTAAAGAAAAATACGTAGTTAATTATTTTTAAATGGAAGTTTGACTCTAGTTAAACTTTTGTCTCTAATTATTTAAAAAAGTGATTTTTAAAAATATGTCTTCTTATAACCTATCTGTTCATTGTTGTAGCACAGATTCCTGAACAAAACCTCACATCTATTAAATCAGAATTTCTAAATGGTGGGCCCTTGGAATATGAATGTTTTACTAGCTTTCAAGATGAATATTAGATATACTAAAATTAGAAATCATTAGCTCTATTTTTCTGTCCATACATACATTTATGTAAATATATAATATTCATATATAATAAAATATATTTTATTTTGTTTTATTTATTTAACCTTATCCCAGCCAAAAATAATAATAATAATTGGCAGGGATCAAATAACAAACATCTGCCAAATACACAGCAGTCAAGAACTTACATGCCTATGAATGTTTATTTCAGGATCCCAGACACTTGTGTACTGTGTTTCACTGACTGGGGTGTTAGATAACCTAAACCCAAAATTCTGTATATACTCATGGGAACAGTATATATTTCTGCTCTTAAATTTATTTATTTACCTTTCTACTGGGTTTGATTACAAGTTCCAGCTTCTAATGTTGTTTTGTGTCCTTACTTGCTTATTACTTTGTTCATTCTCCTTCTTATCCTCAGGATGCCTGGAGATTTGATTTTGTATTTTGTTATGTTTATTAATATTATGTAGAGCAATTTAATTCCATTTATGCTTCCCACCACTTTGAGTTCTATCTTTGGTTATTAAGTCCTGACTGAACTTGTACAGCTATGCAAAACAACCAAACACACAAAAATAAGGGCAAGACACAGACTTTCCTCATATACCAAAAAGAAGGAATTGGCAGTAATTTACCATGACTTTGAATGACTTTAAGATTTCAGTTATCCTTTTACTTCTCTAGTTTCAATATGAAAAGCACTATGGGGATTTTTAGTTGTCCACTTAGAGACTTATGCCACTTTTCTGGAAAGTAGAACTAGCTGTAGTCCAATCTGGCTTTAATTTTTTGTAAACCACTGTCTACACACACACACACACACACACACACACACACACACACAGAGAGAGAGAGAGAGAGAAAGAGAGAGAGATCTGAACTGACTGAAAGTTAAGAGAATTCAATGTAATCTAATGAACAAACCATAGGATATTCGCAATTACATCATTTTCTTTTATTTTCTGAATTTCATGTTCCTCAATGGACAGATGTAACAATACTTACCTTATATAATAAATACTTAGCAGAATTTCTGGAATATGTCAAGCATTAAATGTAATCTAGCTAGTTTATTTCAAAATTTTAGAACAAAAAGGGATCTTAAACCTCATCAGACATAAACTTGTCATTTTATATATAAAGAAACAGACCAAGAGAGGGTGCATTCGTTTGATCAAAAACATTTAAAAATAAATGAAGGGAAAGAGTATTCAGGATAGACCACAGTGCACTGTGCAAATGCAATCAACTGGGATGGCTATATTGTGATATGGCACCATTGCAAATATCACTTCTAAGGTGAATGTATGGCTGGAATTGATCCATCTTAACAACTACTCACATCTAAATTAATTTGACCACTTTGTCTCTGAAACTAAAATAATCTGTTTCTAGTGAGAGAATTCAGTTTTGATGGTTTGAAAAGGAAGAGTTAGCTACAGTTTAATATAAAGACACTTCAGGAAAGGCAGCCTTCAATCAAATTCTGCATAGCTGAGGGAATAATGGGAGAACGGTCATATATAGCCAAAGACAAAATATTTTGCTTTCTTAAACGGTCTTACCTATGTTTGATAGGCAGGATATAATTTTGACTCAAAAATGTTATCCTCATACAATAAATTGATTGTTGTCTGTTCAGCAAAATTTTAGTCAATTGAAAGCATTCTTTAGCTCTTCTACTTGTTTTGTCCTTCTGGAATCACCAAGAATTTTTCTAAGCACGTGCTGTGTATCTGACAATTGAAGGCACTTACAATTTAAGCAGGAGTCATCTAAGAAACAGCTTAAAATCAATACCAGAAACTAAAGGACAAGACAAGACAAGATTGATTGGTACAATTTCAGGATCTATAGGCCTCCAGGAAAGGAAGATCGCAGTAACTGAGGATGTCAGAAACTGCTCATGGAGAGGAAGAAATAAAGGTCCCTGTAAAAGGAAGTGCAGGATTTAAATTGATTTATGTGAGGGGGTATAGCTTTTCAGGAAAAGAAACTAAAAAGTAAATACAGAAAAATAAACAGAAATAAATGTGTTACTTCTTTAGGAATTGTTTTTAAGTGTGGTTGTATCCAATTCCTTTTCCTGCTCTTATTTATTAATTAAATATTATTTTTCACGAGGTCTTTATTCTTTCTCTGTTTTATTGGGGGGGACTGGTAAGCATAGAGATGATTATGTATAAAATACGTTATAGTTATTCTATCACAGTTAAACAAATAAATGGGCAAATTATATTAAAATAAAGTTTATAAAGTTACTCCTACACACACACACACACACACACACACACACACACACATAACTATCTGAAAAAATCCCAAATAAAAAATTGCAAGGTAACTAAAGAAGTTAAAATAATTAGCTATTTCATCCAGGATTAAGGATTTTGTTAAGGATGGTGTTTTCTTACATTATAGACATATATGGACCTAGATACATATATAATAGAGAATGAAGGAGGGAATGGAGGGAAATGTACAGATTCGAAGATAGGGAAGATAACTCAATGTAGAGATCCTGTTGTTTGGATATTTTGACCATATTTTTTTAAAAATAACATTTGCTTTTTATTTTAATAAAATACAGGTTTATTTTTGAATTTTGTAACCTACAGGCAATTAAAGAAAATAATCTCTGCCAGCATGCTGAAACCAACATGGTGAAATTAGCTGGGAGTGGTGGCAGGCGCCTGTAATTCCAGCTACTTGGGAAGCTGAGGCAGGCGAATCGCTTGAAGCTGGGAGGCGGGGGTTGCAGTGAGCTGAGACAGCGCCATTGCATTCTAGTCTGAGCGACAAGAATGAAACTCCGTCTCAAAACAAAAACAAAAACAAAAATAATCTCTGTCCCTGTATTCAAGAACAACTGCTAAAAATACTACACTATTACTTTTTACAGTTTTTGTATAATTGTTTTGTTTTTCTCTTTAAGATTAATTGGAATCTTACTGCATAAGTAATTATGTATATTCTTTTAATTTATTAACATATAAGAATGCTTTACTTTGTTATAAAATCTTGAAAAGCATAACTTGAAATATCCCATTTGACTGCTATGTCATCATCTGTTATCATCATTACCATTTTCATCATTCTAATGGCAGACACTCTATGTCCAGACATTAGACTACAGATTTATCAGAAAAAAATCTTGCTTAATTCTGAAAACAACCATTATCATCATTGGTAACAGGAAGAAAATAGAGGTGGAGTGTTTAAGTAACTTGCTTAAATCACTAAAAATGGGCATATCAAGGATTAAAAATAAGTGTGTCGGACTAACGCTGATCCACCTAACAGATGTTATCATTTCCCTTGGCATTCACCAGGATTTTGTGTAAATTTTCTTCCTTATTTTCATTTTTATCTGTTTCTTAGTAAATTGCAATATATCGATTATATTTTCAACAAATGATCTGAGGGAAATATATTATCTTTAACCTTCCCAAACATTGCAGATCTCAAAATATCTTTCACATGCACTCGAATCTAAATAAATAGAAGTTATTGAATAAAAAACTTTCCTTCTCAAAGCTCCGTAGATGTTTATTAATTTTTTAATTGAATATTTCAGAAGTTTGTTATTTCTTATTCTGAATGTTTTATAGTTTGAATAATTGTAGAGTTTTTAAAAATGTATTCCTATAACTCAAATATATGCAAGTATAGGCAGGAAGGTCTTTTAATGGCTGTTTGCCTGAAATATAATTAAATGTTTCATTTTTTCCATTTTTCTTTTTGGTACTATTTAGTACTATTTTTATTTAATATAACATCTTTATAATTTATCTATCTAAATTACTTTCTACTATTTTCAGTAGCAGTAATAATTGCTATCTTTCTAACATAGTCAATATTGTTTGATTCTCTAATTTGTTGAATTTTAGTAAAAAGAAACTTTGTCATGTTTCTCCTATGTTTCAATGTTCCAATTTTGCAATGTTAGTTCTTCACACTGCTCCATTCATTCTGCATTTTGTTTATTTTTTCTTTGTTTAAATTTGTTGTGAATATTTGACTGCTGCTTTTAGGCTCATTTTATTTTTTCCTTATGGATATTGATGCCTATGTTACAAAAGTAATATTTTTGTTGTTCATAGATAATAAGCCTATATAGGCCAGCCGTGGTGGCTCACGCGTGTAATCCCAGCACTTTGGGAGGCCGAGGCGGGTGGATCATGAGGTCAAGAGTTCAAGACCAGCCTAGTCAACATGATAAGACACGATCTCTACTAAAAATACAAAAATTAGCCAGGCATGGTGGCGGATGCCTGTAATCCCAGCTACTCGGGAGGCTGAGGAGGAGAACTGCTTGAACCCGGGAGGTGGAGGTTGCAGTGAGCTGAGACCACGCCACTGCACTCCAGCCTGGGCAACAGAGTGAGACTCCATCTCAAATAATAATAAGCCAATACAGATAATTTTTACTACGTCATTTGGTAAGCAATTTTTAAAGAAATTTTGTTCTTTACATTATTATAATAGTTAGATGAGATAATTTTCTCATTTCTTTTTAACAAGAAAGTATAATTAATTAGAATTAATAACACTAATACTTATTTGAAAGTTCAAATCTCATACTAAGATCACTAACAAGGATTCCTGGTTTTGATGAGGGAGACAGTGAGAACCTGCTAAATTTTAGATAAATAATAAGCCAACAATTTAGAATGACACCAACAATTTCGTTAATTGGCTATTCAACAGTTGAAGTAGAACTCTTCTATTGTATCCATATTTATTATAATTCACATCTCATAATATATCTATCTAATATTTTCACAAGGTCTACTAATGGGTATTAATGTTATTATTCTAAAATTCAGCACAAATATGCATATGTATATGTTTTAGAAGGGTAAAATAGGCTTTATCACATCATTGATATATCTCACATTATTTTATGTATAACATTATTTTAGTATGCTACTTGTTATTTATTATAATTAT
Organism: Homo sapiens; assembly: GCF_000001405.40. Classification (NCBI taxonomy): domain Eukaryota; kingdom Metazoa; phylum Chordata; class Mammalia; order Primates; family Hominidae; genus Homo; species Homo sapiens. Next base: position 193,338,781 of record NC_000002.12, on the reverse strand, counting down.
TATATAATGTATTTGTATATATGTATATATGTATACATGTACGTATATATGTATATATACGTGAATTGTGAAAAACACCTGTGTATATACATATATGTATATATGTATATACGTACATGTATACATATATGTATATACACAGGTGTTTTTCACAATTTAATTAAAAACTCATTCTATTATAACTCATCTATAATTAGCATATTTTCTATTAATACCATTTTCTATATTAGAACAAATATATTAAGAATTTTTCTGACAACATATTCAAAACTATAAATTTTATTTTTATTTGAAAACAATTATCTAAATACATTTATGGAAATATTTTATCACTATATACTTGCTTCTTAATGTTAAATATAAAGAAAAATGATGTGAAAGAAAAATAGCCCAGTATTTGAAAATTAATTGAATGTTATGCTAATTCCTCATATTTTAACATAATGGCTCCCCTGCTCTCTTATCTCTTCATTCAGTCCTACTAGGCTAAAAGTTAGAGGTAAAACTTTGGAAATGACATAAGGGCTTAAATACAGGGTGTACATCTCTTAAAGGTGTATGTCTCTTAAAGACAGATTCAAGAAGCAGTTAGCCAGAAATTCTGCATTCAGATTTCTCTCAAGACCTTTGCAGATTCTTAAATGTTCATACAAAGGATGAGACTTGAAGAAAAATGATAGAAAAAAGATAGACATAAGCCGAAGAATTTATGCAGAAATTTCAGTTACTTCATATTACTTGAGAGGCAGAATTTGGGGTTTGAAACATGATTATTATAGAGGTTTGGCTAACAAAATAGACGTTTCAATTAAATCCCAGAAGAGACGTATCATAGGAGTATGCATCACTTCACAGTTAAAGATGTATACTCTTGAACTGAGATCAACACCAAAATAGAACTTTCCTAACAATTTCTGTATTCAAACATCAAAATCAAGCTGACTGTCCAGTAATTTGCAAGTTGTTAAAAATATATCATTCATCAAAGGAACAGAACAGTATTTAGAATCAATATAATTCATCACCTCTATTGGATCATCTTATGAAAAAAAGAATAAAATATAAAGTAGGAAAAAAAGAGGAAAAATGCAATCTGGAAAGACACACAGATGACCTAGATGTTAGAATTAGCACACAGATACTAAAAAGAAATGCTATGAATTAGATAATAATTTTTTATATTTTTTTCTGCAAAAAGTTAATGTGATACTCCTAGCATCTAGATCATGATTTGTAATGCCATTCACCAATAAAATAAGCCAGTAAAATAATTCATTCTAGGACTAGGACTAGAAATATACAATTTTATCTTGAAGCATGTTGTGATGCCAAAATGTGAAGAATTGCTCAAAAAACAAAACGAAAACAAAACAAACAAACAAGCAAGCACACAAACACAAGTATAAGATTAAATCAAAGGGATATTGGAACCAATGGTGAAAGAGCTTCCAATGGCCTAAGATGGAAATATTTGAGCAAGACAATACATAATATAGTACTGAATAATAACCAATAGTTTAAAATAAATATTCATGAGTCCATATTGATATAAATAAATGTTTAAAGAACTAAAGTAATGCTGGAAAAGAGACAAATTCTCCAACAAAGATGTATTCAGAATAATTTATGCAGATAATCTGCTCTCAGTGGGGGGCCACATAACTCTCCACCCTTTAAGTATGGACTACTTATAGTGACTTGCTTCTAATAAGCACAGTATGGAAAAAAGAAAACAAGAGTAACTTTTCAGTGGACAAAACTGACAAACATTACCTCTGCCAGTGATCCAGGTTAATGCCAACAGTTGTGTCATGGAAATAGTATGTATCCTTGAAATGATCAAATATATTTTCATGTAACTGCTTAACCGAAGCAAGGAAATAAACAAACCCAAAATACTCAATATTCTTTAAAAGACAGACTCAAAGACTTAAAATATAACAATTACAGTTCCCAGCATCTTTTAAAATATAACTCTTCATATGAAAAGACATGAAAATCCCATTCCCCTCAGGAGAAAAATCAATCAATAGAAATAGAACCAAAAAATGAGAGATGATGAACTTAGCAGACATGGACTTCAAAAGATGTGTTATGAATATGTTCAAGAATTTAAATGAAAACATGTGGATGACATAAAAGGGGAAATCAACCAAATATGTAGAGATGAAAAATACCATGTCTAAAGTGAAAATATCATTGGATCAATTTAACAGCTTTTTAGGATTGTGCAGAATAAAAGATTGGTAAAACGATTGTAGGAATGGAAACTACCCAAAATAAACTACAGAATTTGTTTCCATTATGATGGAATAATTGTTATTATATTTGCCCTTTTTGCCTAAACAACTATTAAAATGGGACAAAAGTCAATATAGAATGATAATCCCTGAGAAAAGAGTGAGTCCTACAACAGCACTGCACTACTTTCCTGGAGGCGCTTTTGAACGATGGCAGAGAGGGCGGAACCCAAGTACAGTAAAGGAATATCATGGATATGGAGATGAATACCAGACGTTTAGCTGATAAAACATGTAATGCATATTATTAGAAAGAAGGGACCTAGGTCAACAAAAATTTTGCCTGTCCCCTGTATGGAGTTAATATGCTGTGTTTCCTTTTGCTTATTTACAGTGAATGATGGTAAATATAATTCCTTCAGCTAAAAGTAACACATGAATTTCAATGCTAAACTCTTAATCAAAAATGGAAGAAGTTATTCTTTTTGCCAGGAATGTAAATTATTTATCTTATAAAATGTTTTTTAATTAGAGATTCAAATAAAATGTTAAACAACAGTACATATGCTATACCAGTGCTTCGAATTCTTGTACATTATAATTTTATAGAATTTAACAAAGTCTACCTTACCAAAATAAAAATGATACTAGTTCATTTTCTCCTTTAATTTTCTCTCTCTCTTTCTCTTTTTTTTTTAATTGACGGGGTTATGCTCTGTTGTGCAGGTCGGAGTGCAGTGGTGTGACTATAGCTCACTGCAACCTCGAACTCCTGGGCTCAAGTGATCCTCCTGCCTTGGCCTCTCAAAGTACTGGGATTACAGATGTGAGCCACTGCACCTGGTTAATTCACCATTTATATCTAACAATTTTTAACTCCTCATTTATTGTTGATTATTTAATCTGTCGAGACACACAGAAAGTACACAATATATATTAATAAAATGGTACTAAATATGTGAAAGAATTGCATTAGCAATATAGTTCTAAGTAAAAGTGCAATACTGAAAATATCTCAGAAGTTATGCCATAATTATCTAATGTATTTTCTACGCATAAATTTCCTAGCTTTTCATTTCATACATACTTCTTTTCACAAAATTGGCATAAATATGCAATTGATATTGGCTAAATCTATACAGAGTAATGTTCATAAATAGAAGAATAAAATGTTAACATATTTTTACTGATGGTAAAAAGTGAAGTAAAGTGAACTGAGGAATTTTATGCTTTCTGGAAAGAATGCAAAGTAAAATCAAGTAATGAATGAGTGAATATGATAAAAAGCAATTCTGTGTAAAATTGACATGAAAATAAGCATTCTAGACAAATTTAGAGCTAAAAGTGTGGGCAGAAGACCTTTTGACATGGTAGATACAATAGCAACAAATATTAAGTTGGCAAAGGCAAAGCTTATAGTCAATAATATTTCAATGATCAAATAATGAATGATGAGTAAAATCATTGTAGAACATTTTATTCAAAATTTTCTTATCTCAATGAAAACAGTGTAATGTCAGTAAATCAGGACAATTTCAATAAAAGAAAAATATTAATGTGCTATAAAAATACCAAAAATAAATTAGTTCTATGAGGATTTTAGTAAAATACATGCAACTTAATTTTCCCACAAACATGGTTTAAAGTAATTTTAATAAAACAGATAAAAAATAAAGCATAAAAGGATAATAAAAATGTATACAGAGGGAGTCAGTCAGAGGCATAACAAATTAATCAAACATTATCAGTACTTAGAGTACATGCCAATATTAAGTCTGTTATTATCATTATATAAATTATATACTCTTTGTTTCTAATTATGACACAACTGAATGAGGAAAACATCTTCCATATTTCAAATAATTTTAATAAAATAATGCAAAAGCTCTTATAATTGACAATATTAACATTTATGTGATGACGTCAATAGTGTTTAAAGTTCTGTAGGTTCAGTATTATAGAAATTAACTATCACATAATTTTATATCAAATTTTGGATAGTTGAGCTTTTTTGTTGTTTAGAGCCAGAGTAGAAGACATTTTAATATTAGTCCCCTCATATTTTCCATTTTTACATACAATTTTTGTGTATTTATGTACTTATGCACTGGGACAAAATATCAAAATACATAATTATACTGTTATTTATTCATAGTCAAATGTGTTGCAATTATGTCAACATGTAAATTTCTCAAGAAATCTGTGGTCCGCTAAGAATACTAGAATGACTTCAACATTTTAGTAGAGCCGATATTTATTTTTATTATTGTGAACTAGGAAAGTCAATCCTATGTTTTGAACCTACATCCGCCTCAAGTGTCTGTCCCATTTTTCTGTTCCTATTTCCAAACTCCCAAACTTTCCAAACATCAAAACTTGAACTTCAAATTAAATGTTGTTCATTTCCTTTGAAACCCAAGCCAATTAAGTACTTACTTGCTTACCCTCCATGAAAGTAACTGTTAAAAATGTCAACAGTAATCTTCATGTTATTAAACTCAATATTCAATTCCCATTATTCATCTTACCTAACTTGTTATTAGTTGGCAAAGGATCTTCTGCTTGCAACTCTCCACTGGCTTTTATTCCTTCTCAATCTGCTTTGGTGGTTTCTCAGTTCATTGAATGGTAAATGTTGGCATAGCCAATGACAATTACTCCTATCAATTTTTACACAGTTACACTCATTCCACAGGTGGTGTCGTTCACCGACAACTTTAAATATCAACAATTCCCTAATGATTCACAATAATTATAATGGGCTTAACTAGACCTCTGAACTCCAGACTTCTATGACCAAATTTGCCAACTTGTCATTTTTTCTTAGATGTGTACTAAATATCTTAGATGTGTGCTAAATATGGCACAGATTCAAACTACTGATTCCCACTAACACCAGATTTCTCATGTCCCATCTGTGTCTGTTTTTAGGCTGCCATCACAAATTACCACAAACTTGGTGGCTTAATACAACAGAAATTTATTCTCTCAGTTCGACACCTGAAATAAGGTGTTGTCAAAATTGATTTATTCCAGAGGTGATGAAAATGAATCCACTTCATGTCTTTCTCCTAGCTTCTGTTGATCACCAGTAATCTTTGGTGCCCCTTGGCTTGTAGAGACATTACTTCAATCTCTGCCTCTGTCTTTACATTGCCTTCTTCTCTTTGTGTCTCTGTGTCCTTTCCTGTCTCTTATAAGGACATCCTCATTGGATTTGGGACCTGCCCTAATCTAGTATCATCTTATCTACATCTTTATTTTAAGGATCTAGAAATACCCTGATTCCAAATAAGATCACATTCTGAGATTCTGTGTAGATAGGAATTTGGGGGAAGATACTAGTTAATCCACCACATCCTCTATTACTCATTTCACTAAATTACAACTTTATTCTTGTAAGAGGACACAATCCTCATGGTGATTCATCATGCTTTTCTTTCTCTTCTATGAACATTTGATCCATCAGATCTTTTACAGTTTTTAGCTTCAAAACTACCTCCAGAATTCAACAGCTGCTAATCACCACTGCTTAACACTGGTGTAAGTTACCATCGTTTCAAACTTGGGTTATTTAAAGGGACTCCATAATAAGCCCCTTGTACTTTTCCTTTGAACTCTACCCTTAAAAACACTCAGAAAAAAGCCAGTGTCTTCACATTATCCTATATAATGTTCTATTCCCACACAAGCATCTCTTCTTTCCTTTGCTTATTTTAGTGCAGATATGGTTTCCTCCAACAGTTTCTCAAACACAGCAAGCATCCTTCTTTAATAAGTAACATGCAATTACGGTTGTATCATTTAGAAAAAAATTTCTCTATACGTTCTACATTGTTCACACCAGCACTCTTTAATGGTTTTGTTCAAACAGCACCTTTTCAGAGACAGCATCCCTGACCACCTTAGACGAATAATATTATTTCTTCAATGTCTTTATTCTACCCTTTTTCCCGCAGTTCTTACAACCACTTGACCTTATTTATTTATTTGCTCAGGTGTTTATTGTCTTTCTTACCCAATAAAATGCAAAGTTCTTGAGGTTAAGGACTATTTTACTTTCAGATCCATGTATATTACATAATAGGTACTCAGATAATATTTCATGAATTAATGGATTAATCCATCTGAAGTTCTGTCTTTACATGATCAAACTCCACTTGCAAATAAAAAGTCTGTCAGAAAGCCAGGAAGCTTCTGCTGGCATTGGCTTCTGTACCATGCTTCTTTGACAGTGATTAGATTCCTGAAATAAACATTGACTTAGAAATATTCTTAGTGTCAGAAAATGAAAAAAAAAGATAATTTTTAACTAGTGCAGAAGGATAACATATTTTTCACAGAGTAAAAAATAAATTGGTGTTTAAAATATAATTTTTAGCATTCTCTTTGATATTGCTTTGTCATTTGTAATGGACAACTTAAACTCTTTAATAGGTATTTTATGGTTTACCTATAACATTTTAATGAAATGCAAGAATGTTATGACTGTAATAAGTGGAAAAATAGTAAAGTTCCATTTACAGAACAAAAGGTTTTTGATGTGATGTCAAAGGCTCTTTAAATATATAATTCATCCCATCTGTTAGTCTCACCACATAGCCAGCTGTGAGGTTTATAAGTTAAAAAAAAAAAAAAAAAGGAAAGAACGAAAGCTTGGCAATTCCTAGCTCTGTTTTGATTAGCATAAACTTCTGCTTTCTTGTCAGGAAATCCCTCTCTGTAGATTAAAATATCTTGCAAGTTGCCATTTCCTCTTCTCTCATGATGTTTTATGATTAAGAAATGAAAAAATATAAGCAAGATACCACATATTGGCTGAACGAAATTTTCTATGCAACGTCCAATAGTGCACGTTGCCACAGTTTATTAGATGGTGGCACACCTTAAATATAAAGATGTCATCGATTCCAAATTTCAAACTGTGTTGAAAAGTGAAATTCCAAGGGAGAACATATACAGGAGATTTGTGCCAGAACTACTTCCCAAAAGCAATATCAAAAAGAAATGAAAAAATAATTTTTCTAATTGGAAATATGTGGGGAATATAAGGTAGGAAGAATTTAATTAATAGATTTGGAGTAAGGCCAGAACTGCAGAGTTAATACCTTTGGTTTTTCAAAGAGTGCCGTGGGATCTTGAATGCCTATGGTGGTCAGTAGAACTGGCAAGTTTTACTCCGGATTAATCATAAAGCAGCTTTACAAATTTATCTGGGGCCGGGCGCAGTGGCTCACGCCTGTAATCCCAGCACTTTGGGAGGCTGAGGCGGGCAGATCACTTGAGGTCAGGAGTTCGAGACCGGCCTCAACATGGAGAAACCCCAGGTCTACTAAAAATACAAAATTAACCGGGCATGGTGGTGCATGCCTGTAATCCCAGCTACTCGGGAGGCTGAGGCAGGAGAATTGCTTGAACCTGGGAGGTGGAGGTTGCAGTGAGCCGAGATCGCGCCATTGCACTCCAGCCTGGGCAACAAGAGCGAAACTCCATCTCAAAAAAAAAAAAATTATTTCGAGATAACGTTTTATGCAGAGTATGTCGTGTGTGATTTTCATGTTTTTTTTTTTTTTTTGGGGGCAAAAGACATACTTCAGCACAATATGACAATTTTGAGGGTCTTTCTTAGGAGAAATTATCAGCATCCAATAAAGCTATTTCAAAATATTAAATATGCTAACATTTACAAAGCACAGAAAGTGAAATTTCTTACTGTATTTTTAAATAAGCACATTCATTTTAATACTTCTGATTCTTGTGTGTGTGTATGTGTGTGTGTACATGTGTGTGTATGTTTTCCCCTTCATTTTTTTAAACTTTTATTTTAAGTTCAGGGGTAAAAGTGCAGGTTTGTTACATACATAAACTTGTGTCATGGGGGGTTGTTGTACAGATTATTTCATCACCCAAGTATTAAGCCTAGTACCAATTAGTTATTTTTCCTGATCCTCCCCCTCCTCCCACCCTCCAGTCTCCAGTAGTCCCCAGTGTGTGTTATCCCCCTCTATGCCTCCATGTGTTTTTATCATTTAGCTCCCACTTAGTGAGAACACGCGGTATTTGGTTTTCTGTTCCTGTGTTGGTTTGCTAAAGATAATGGTCTCCAGCTCATCCATGTCCCCGCAAAGAACATGATATCCTTCTTTTTTATGGCTCCCTAGTATTCTACCATGTATGTGTACTACATTTTTTTTCTAGTCTATCACTGATAGACATTGAGATTGATTTCATGTATTTGCTTTTGTGAATAGTGCTGCAATGAACTTATGCACACATGTGTCTATATAATACAACAATTTATATTCCTTTGGGTATATATCTAGTAATGGGATTGCTGTGTCAAATGGTATTTATGTCTTTAGCTCTTTGAGGAATTGCCACACTGTCTTCCACAATGGTTGAACTAATTTACATTCCCACTAATTCACAATCCAAGCTGATTCCTAACAAAGCTATGGCAGAATGTAGTTAACTACCAACTCTCCACCATGCATAGTAATGTAATTCATTCATATTTAATAAAAAGCTTTTAAAGTAATTGAACACCTATAGGAACCATAATAATTGGTGGCCTAGTATCTCATGATACTAGTTTCCCCTTGGTGAAACTGACAGTGACTGTGCTTATATCATCCCATCACTCTTCCTGCCTCTGTTGAAATGGCTGATTAACTCCATGGATAGCCACCTTAGGGAGTGGTTATCCAGCCACATCTTTGGAGTTTTCTTTAAAACACATATTTCATTTTTTTGCAGTATGGATAACTGAGATTTTCCCAAATCTTTTAGTTCTGGTTTCCTTATGGTTAACAATTTATTTAATTTATTTTTCTTATCCTATACTTTACTATAAGCAATAAAGAGAAATCAGGCGATATCTTTAACTCTTTGCTTAGAAATTTCATTAGCTAAATATATAACTTCTTTGCTTTTAAGTTCTACTTTCCACAAAACACTATAACATAGTTCAGCCAAGTTCTTTGCCACTTTATAACACGGGTCATCTTTCCTTCAGTTTCTCATAGCACGTCTCTTATTTCCTTTTGAAATCTCATCAGAATCACCTTTAACATTCACATTTCTACCAATAATCTCTTCAAGGGAATCTAACCATATTTTAGAATGCACTTCAAAATTTTCCAATCTATACCCATCACCCACCCAAACCCAAAGCCACATTTTTAGGTGCTTGTTACAGCAGCATCCCACTCCTAGTACCAAAATCTGTCTCAGTCTGCTTGGATTGCTATTATATAATACCACAGATTGAGAAGGGGAAACCACACCAATTTATTCTCTCTGAGTTCCAGAGGCTAGAAGTCCAAGATCAAGGTACTAGCATGGTTAGTTTCTGGTGAGGTTTCTTCCTGGCAGACAGACAGCTGCCTTCTTGCTGTGTCCTCATGTGGCCTTTCCTCTGTGCACAGGTGAAGAAAGAGAGCTCTGATGTCTCTTTCTTTTTTTATAAGGACGCATGTCCTATTGGATTAGGATTCACCCTTACGATTTCCTTTAACCTTAGTAACCTGCCTAAAGGCCCTGTCTCCAAATACAGCCACTTGTGGGTTAATGCTTCACATATCAATTTTGGGAGGACAAAATTGGTCTACAACAAAACTGTATGTGTACATTATATATCTACCTAAATTGTTTCTCTTTGCAATAAAAATATGAACAATATTAGAATGTCTTTTTGAAGGGCAATCTAACATATTTGGAGAAATATTCAAAATGGTTTCATAAAAGAGTTTTCAGAATGAGTAATGTCATTAGACCATTTTTACTTACAATAATTTATTGTATGTATTGTATTAATATTGTGCATGCATACACACACACCCCTTAACATACGATATCCAACTTCCCCTAAATTCTTCGTATTACTATTTTGGTTACATCAAAATGGAATGATAAAAATGAATTAAGATGTGGCATATGGGTCAGAAAACTGAAATATGATTCACCGTGAATAAAATTGTAGTTGTTAAAACTATTAATGTTTTTTATATCATTATTTACCATTTGTTTCTTATACCTGTCACAAACTTAATCACTTAAGTTGCCTGTAATTCTATCAATACAACAGCTAAACCATAAAGTGCACTTAAATGTTTAGTGTCAGATCAAATCTCCAATATTACACTTTGTCACCATATCTAACTACTAAAATATAAATTATTTTGTTTCAGTGTGCTGGCTTGACTGCTATTGTGAGTGCAATAAATAATATTCCCTGGCACTATAACAAAAAAGATTATTGAAAAGAGATAGTTCTGTGTGATAAAGATGTGTGAAATCTGTGGGAAGGAGAGGTTTAGTTTAGAGACCATTTCTGCCACTGAATATTGTACAAACAAAGGAATATTTTTACAAACGAAGCAATACTTTTACAAACAAAGGAAAAATTTTTCAATTTTATTCTGAATAGACAAAGATTGCTCTCCTCATATTGGTTTGTTCAATTCATATGTATTGATTTAGATAAAAATAGTTTGTATTATTTTATACAATTAGAAAATAGCCTATGTGCCCCAGTTTTTTCTAATTTATACAGCCTCACTCCAACTTATAGACTAACTAATACATGTTCTTGGTTTGAAATAAGCAAGCTAAGAATTAATTGATTATAAAAGTATAGATTAGGATAGTTAAAAAAAGTTAATGAAAAAAAAAAACAGCAAATGATTTAGTGGAACATGTGCCACTAAGGAAACATCCTATTTTTTGTAAAAAATAAGACTGCATTTATCATGATTTATTTCACCATCACTAAGACACCATAGGAATTTCTAACCTCTTCTCTATGTGCAATATAAATTATTACTCCTTTGTTTTATATTTTTATGATCATGATATTGTTTCAAAATGTATTTGTTTTCATCAGGATGTTAAGCATTTATTTAATATAATATTTGTATAAAATTAGAAAATATTGAATTTTATACCGGTTCTCCTTCTACTACAAGGATATACATATATATGTGTGTGTGATATATAACAATATATCAATTTTATAATCAATTAATTATATAACAATATATTAATTATTATAAACATACACACACACATACACTTGTATATATACACATATGGTCAATCATTTTAGATTCTGGAGCTATACTGTTATTCATTTAAAGTGATAATATTCTAAACTGGGAAATTCATTCATATTTATTAGTTTGATATAATTCAATTAATTGGAAAGACTGCATATTTTGCTTTCTTTTATTGATGTGATTTTTAAAATAAACTACATTTTGTTACTTACCTTGCTGACCATGCTAGAGTAAGACATTCACAACTTGAACTTGCAACATAAACAGTTAGAAAACTACATGAAACAATTGTTAGCAGATTTTGGACAAGAGGAAGCACCAGACTGTGATCCCTAACAGATGGAAACAAAGAAAGTTGAGAGTTCATTCACTATGGCTTTATACTTGAAGGCAATTTCAGAAATTCAAGGACATGGATAAGGTATTCAATATGAGCCTGGCAGTTTCACTGAGTTAGAAAAGATAATTGGCGTTTAGAAAGTCTAAAGAAGCTTGAAGTCAGAGGGCAGAGTTTCAGGAAGGAGATATGTAGAAAAATAATCTCAGAGATATACAAAGAACTTTTGCTGTATATTGGACTGCACATTTATAAATGCCTCCCTTCAAAAAAGAATGGAAATTTGTAAACCGAACTATTCCCAGAGTTCACCCAGGTTGGATGGCCTTTCAAGTTTTGACCAGCCAAGGTGGAGAATTATTAGGCATCAACTGGGGTATTCAACTTAATGGGCACACTCAGTATAAGATGATATACCCATGTTAGCATGTATTTCAGTCCTGTGTTAGCAAAGTTTACAAGCAGATAACTGATTTGAAAGTAATTTAACTGCTTTAACGATAAAAGCCACAAATTTTCTTTTATGATGAAAAAATAATAGTCAAACATTTAAAAGCATAATATGTAGCATTTTTGACATCAAAAATTCTGTTTCTAGACATGCCAAGAGGCATAAATGTGCATGTCGAAACTCCTAAGGAAATTACAAAACAATAAAAACTTACTAAAAATAATCAGAGCGTTTAGTCAGTGAGTTAATCAGCAGGAAAGGTCACGGGATACAGGGGAATATAAAATATCAATTATAATTGTATAAAGTAGCAACAAACAATCAAAAAGAGAGATTTTAAAGGTAGCATTCATAACATAAAAAAATGAAACACAAAAATTTAACAAAAATGTGCAAGATTCAAACCTGAAAACTATAAAACATTGCTGAGAAAAATTAACAAAGACATAAATGTATAAAAAATTTGATATATAAGATGACGATTCTTCCCAAATTGAAGTATATGTTAAAGGCAATCCCAATCAAAATTAATCACATGAGGCTTTAATATAAAAATAAATCAATAACAAAATTTATATGAAAATCCAAAAAATATTGCATAGTCAAAACATTTCTGATTTCAAGATTTATTATTGTCCTATAGTAATCAAGACAGTTTGGTGTTGAATTAAGGTTAGAAACAGATTGATAAAACAAAATAGACTCTAAAATAGGCCCACGTATACATGACAAAAGGGTGTAGTTAAGTCAGTGGTCAAAATTAGTCTTTTCAACAAATAGTGCTGAAATTTCGAGATAGTCCAATGACAAAGGACTTTAACTTAACCTTTATCTCTCACTATGCATACACACACACACACTCTCTGTCTCTCCCTTTCTCTTTTTTCTCTCTCACCCCAAATAGTCAAAATGGAACATAAAACTAGGATAAAACTAAGGATAAACTCTAAAACTACTATATTTCTAAAAGGCAACATAGGGAACAAATATTGATGATGTCGGGGTAAGCCAAAAAAGAAATAACATTAAAGACAGCAAAAAAAAATTCCAAACAGTGTGAGAAGAAATATAAAGATTGTAGTTCATCAATACTAAAACGTTTTGCAATGAAGAAGACAAATTAAGGAAATAAAAATTTAAGTCACATAATATGTGAAATCATTAATTATATATGTATCTCAATAAATTACTAGTATCCAAATCCATGAAACTCTACAATTTCATAATAAAAAGGCAACCCAATCTGAATAGATGTTTTATAAAATATACAGCTAACCAACAAGGACATGAAAATAGGCTCAACAACATTAGTCATCAAGCAAATGTTAATTAAAACTACAAAGAGATAAGACTACAGACTACAAACTACATCATATTATAATAGGTAAACTAAAGTGACTGGCAGTACCAAGTGTTGGCCAAGATGTATCGTTGGGGAAAAGATCCTGGCCAGAATGCAAAAGGTTAAATTCACTTTGGGAAACCACTATGGGAGTTTGTTCTCAAGTTTGATATGGCTTTAATGTATGATTCAACAATTATACTCCTAAATATATGAATCTGGAAGACGTTAAGAATAAATCTGAACAAGTGTATAGAGAGCAAAAAAACCAAACCCACAAGAGTCCATACTATACATTCTAATTATCTATAATTCTAGGCAAGACAAATCTAATCTACAGTGACAGAAAGCAGTTCAGTGGTTACTGGGTCCAGGTGTGTATAGAGGGAAAATGATGAGAAAGTATCACAAGAAATGTTGTCATTGTTATGGAAGCATTCTGTGTTTTAATTGTGGTATTGGTTACATAAACATACCCATTTGCCAAAATGCATCAATTTGGACATTTAAAATGGGTGCACTTTATTGTTTAAATTGCACCTCACTGACCAACAAGGAGACCACCAGTCTCTACTAAAAATACAAAATCAGCCTAGCGTGGTGGCGTATGCCTGTGACCCCAGCTACTCGGGAGGCTGAGGCAGGAGAATCGCTTGAACCCGGGAGGCAGAGGTTGCACTGAACCGATATTGTGCCCCTGCACTCCAGCCTGGGCAACAAGAGCAAGACTCCATCTCAAATAAATAAATAAATAAATAAATAAATAAATAAAGTTTATTTTAAACTAGATTTTTTTTTCTTTTTGATTTACTGCCTTTGAGAGACAGAGTTCATTTTTAGCTAAAGTTTAGGCCTTCTTAGAATACAACCTCATAAAAGATATATTTGTATAATTTGTTTTGAAAATAGTTCATTTTTTTTATTCTATGAGATACACTATAGACTGTTCAACCAATCACATGTTATACAAATTTGAAATTAAGGTATGTTTTAGAAATACAAAGATTTCTTACTTCACAAAAGGGAGAACACATTTAGAAATAAAATGCTTCACTAACACAATTGCTAATTTTTATGTATGAATATGTAGCAGAATTAATTTCTGCTTTCAAAACATTAAAAAATGTAAAACATATAAATGCTCACTTTTTATTATGTCTTCTTAATTTATAACATGAAAAACAGATTTTATAGTCCTCATCAATTTTCTGGAAAAAAATGATTGATTGATAAAGGGGATACGTTCCAAATGATAAACATATTGTAAATCTTTCACAATTTCATTATCATCATCTAAAAGCTATCTGGATAGTCAATGAGATTTCCCTCTTTCTGATTATCATTTGCCTAACGAATCACCTCAATACTTAGTAGAGCAAAACAATGGCAGTATTTATTTTTGCTTACCAATCTTTAATTGGAGTAGGTCTTGGTGAGGACTTCTCTGCTTGGCATGAACTGGGGTGGCATGAAGGTTGGAAGTGAGATTCATGTGAGGGTTTTCTCACTCATATTGAGTAGTCAATGCACGCTGTCAGGTGAGACCAACTAACATCGTCACTTCTTAACTTTCTCAAAGTATAGTGGCTGGGTTTCAAAGTGGAGTATCTTGAGAGAGAGGAAGACAGAGAGAGAGAGAGAAGACAGAAATGAAAGCTTCTGAAACCACTTTGGAAAACTATTGGCAGAATTTACTATCAACATATACATACGTTATGACCCAGAAATTCTAGTAACAGGGTAAATCCAATACAGAAATATACTTATACCAGAATATATATACAATAATTCTAATAGTAGCAGTTATTACAAATAAGGAAAAATAAACACTGGAAACAACCCAAATATTCATCAACAGTAGAATGGAAGTACAGCTACTCAGTGGAATACTATACAAATTATTGCCCATACAATAACATGGATGGATTCACAAGCCTTTTTCTAAGAGGATGCTTGCAAATAAAGCCAGACTCAAAAGTACCATAATGTATAATATAACTTGTATAAAATTGAAATCTCTAGGGAATAAAGTCTGTGGAGATAGAAGTCAAAATTGGTGTTACCTTGGGAGGTGGTTATTGCCCTGTGGAGGCGTTAGCGGGAGGTGGTTTTATTTCTTGTTTGGGTGCCAGTTATATTGGCAATTTTATTTGACAAAAGTGCATTGATCTGTGAACTTATTATTTGTATGCTTTAGTGTGTGAATATTATACTTTAATAAAAAGTATACTGAAAATACATGCAGAGATCAATATTCATGTAATTTATATATTCCTTAATTATATTATGCTTTGAAATTATTTTAAATGCATGCCTGTGTGCAGTTAAAATACAATTTTCTTTTCTATATTTTTTAAACTAAAAACAAATATAAAAAGTTTTAAGGAGCCAATTTTTATGTAAGAGCTGTTATGTAAAATTCAGTCAGGAAAATGATTGCCTGTTAACAAGGAAACAGCTCAGGAAGAGTGTAAACCTAGTCTTTGAAGGCACCAACTTCAGAAACCTAGCTCAAGAACATATGGGTTGGCATAATATAATCACATTGAATTTTTCTGTTTTTAAGACATTCCTTTTTAAAATCCCTTTGTAGATGAAATGGAAAATGACAGAGAAAACTGTGAATTAATATTATAGTCAACTTCAAAATGACTATTACTCTCTTAGATTGTGAATATATTCCTACTTGATTTAAGCTGTTCAATCACTAATAGATTGAGGAAGTCAGCTTTATTTAGACCATATTGTAAGTAAAAGTAAAGTCACAAATTGCTTCCACATATGGAGTAATGTTCATTTATACATTTTTTATTCATTCATTCAGCAACTATATAAAAATATGAAAAAAGACAGTCATGTGCTATCTTTTCATAAAGCCCAATCTAATGGAGAGTGCTATGGAGAGAATTATGCTCTCTCCTCCCCAATTAATACTTTGAAGTTCCAACCTCAGGGCCTCAGAATATAAATAAATGGATCCATTAGTGTGATGCTCTAATCCAATATGACCTGTCCTTATAAAAAATGGGAATTTGGCCAGGTGCGGTTGCTCACACCTGTAATCCCAGCACTTGGGGAGGCCAAGGCGGTTGGATCATGGAATCAGGAAATTGAGACCATCCTGGCCAACAGGGTGAAACCCCATCTCTACTAAAAAGTACAAAAAAATTAACCAGGGGTGTGGTGGTGGGCGCCTGTAGTCCCAGCTACTCGGGAGGCTGAGGCAGGAGAATGGTGTGAACCCGGGAGGCGCAGCTTGCAGTGAGCGGAAATCACACCAATGCACTCCAGCCTGGGCTACAGAGGAAGACTCTGTCTCAAAAAAAAAAAAGGGAATTTGGATATACAAAGAAACACTAGGAATGTACACGCAGAGAAAAGACCAGGTGAGGACACAGCTAGAAGGAGACTATCTACAAGTGGAAGAGAGAGGCCTCAAGAGAAATGTAACATGCAGACAAAGGTGCATGTTTGGAGCCTTCTAGCCTCCAAAACTGTGAGAACTGCTCTTCTAGCTTCCAGAAAATAAATTTCTGGTGTTTAAGCCACCCCGTCTGTGGTTATAGCAGCCCCAGCAAACTAATACAGGGAGTCATATCATTAGAATATGTATTTTTATAAGTACAAGATTTTCATTTTAGTAAGTATTACAAAGAAGAAGTATAGAGTTTACAAAACAGATGGTCAGTTTTTATCTAGCCAGATGTCAAAAAAAATCCCAATAGGTTTTTATTTTGAGCCAGAAGAGTTGGATTTAAAAAGATGAAGTGGAGATTACTCCAGGAAGACAAAACATGGTTAATAGAAATATCACTGACTAATTTTAAGATCAGTGTGTCAAGAGAGTAGGAAATAAAGAAGACAATGGCATAAGCTAAAGTTGTATTGGTCAGGACGGCCAAATCATGCACAATTATCTCCTCCTGTAATAATACTCTAGTGTCAATTATTATAGAATATATACATATATAATATATATACATATATGATATATATGTAGCTATATCTATCTACTTGTCTATATACCCAATCTATCATTTAACTATTCTTTTTTCAACAGAGCCTTGGGGTTTACTTTTCCATATAATTTTTGCCACTAATCTATCAAATTTGACTACAAATCCTATTATATGATGTGTTTTTTGGATTAAAATTCTTATGCTTATAAGATATTTGGGAACACATTAAATCTTTACAATTCTGAGAGTATACATTCCTGTATATATTACTCATGTTTTTGTTTAAATCACTTTATACTTACCAAAGAACTACAAAGACAGTTTAGAGTGTTCCCTTTTACTCTTCATTCAGCTTTCTCTATTATTAACATAAGAACATAAATATTACATAATATAATATAGGTTATATTCATCAAAACTAAAAACTTCACATTGGTATGTGTGTTAGCCTATTCTCACATTGCTATAAAGAAATACCCGATAGTGGATAATTTATAAAGAAAAGAGGTTTAATTCCTGCAGGCTGTGCAGGAAGCATGGCAGCATCTGCTTTTGGGGAGGCCTCAGGGAGCTTTTACTCATGGTGGAAGGCAAAGCAGAAGAAGGCATCTTATATGGCAGAAGCAGGACCAAGCAGTGGGTAGGAGGAGAGATGACACATGCTTTTAAACAACCAGATCTCATTAGAAATCACTACGGCTAGCAAAGTACCAAGGGGGGATGTTGTTAAATCATGAGAAACCACCCCCATGATCCAACCACCTCCACCAGGCTCCACCTCTAGTATTGGGGATTACATTTCAACATAAAATTTGGGTGGGGATGCATCCAAATCATATCAGTAAGCTACTATTAACTGCCAACTTTCTTCATATTTCACCAGTTTTTCCAATAATGTCTTTTTTTCTGGTTCAGGATTTAAACCAATATGCCACATTGCATTCAGTTATCTTGTTTCCTTGGTCTCCTCCAATATGTGACAGTTTCTTTAGTCTTCCCTTGTCTTTTATGACCCCAATACTTTTGAGGTATCCAATCAGGTATTTTGCAGACTGTCCCTCAACTTTGGTTTGTCTTTTTTATTTGTTCATGAATATGTTAAAGATGTAGAATGTGTTAAAAATTACTACGGAGGCAATGTGTATATATTGGCATGACTGATCTCTTGGTGATAATCTGATCACTCAGTTAAGATAGTGGCATACCCAGTTCAAAATAGCCAAGATATGGAAATAATTTAAATGTTCATCAATTTATAAATGAAGAAACTGTGAAATATACAGAGTCACCCATTGGTATCCATAAGGGATTGGTTCCAGGACCTCCTGTGGGTACCAAAATCTTGGATGCTCAAGTCCCTAACATAAAATGGGGAAGGAAGTGTTTGCATGTAACCCATGCACATCCTCCTGTATACTTTAAATTGTCTACTATATTTCTTATAATACTGGATACAATGTAAATGTTATATAATTATTTGTTATATTGTTTAGAGAATAATGACAAGAAAAAATAGTCTGTACATGTTCAGTACAGATGCAATTTTTTTCAAATATTTTCCATTCATGGTTGGTTGAATCCATGGATGCAGAACCCACAAACACAGAGCAACAGCTGTGTGTGGGTGCATGTGTGTGTTTGTGTGTGTGTATTACCTTGGATTGGGCAATGCATTCTTAGATGTAACACAAAAAGTACAAATGACAAAAACATAGAGATAAGTTAAACATCATCAAAACTAAAAATGTTTGTAATTGAAAGGATATTATAGAAAAAGAGAAATGACCACTTGTGGAATACAATAAAATGTTTGCAAATAATACATCTGATAAGGATTTTATCAAGAAAGAGAAAAAAACTCTTACACTCAAAACAGAAACACAATCCAATTTTACAAATGGGCAAAGAATTTGAATAGACATTCCTTAAAAAAAGTAACAAATAAGCACACGAAAATTTGCTCTCGAGACCATCCTGGTTAACACGGTGAAACCCCGTCTCTACTAAAAATACAAAAATTTAGCCAGGCATGGTGGCGCGCATCTGTAGTCCCAGCTACTCAGGAGGCTGAGGCAGAAGAATCACTTGCACCTGGGAGGCAGAGGTTGCAGTGAGCTGAGATCACGCCATTGCACTTCAGCCTGGGTGACCGAGTGACACTCCATCTCAAACAAACAAACAAACAAAAAAAGTTGATCAACATCATTAGACATTAAGGAAATGCAAAACAAATCTATAATTAGAGATACTAGAATGGCTAAAGTAAAAGTGGCATGCAAGAAAAAGTGTTAAAGAGCAAGTGGAGATATTGGAACCTTCATACATTGCTGGCAGAAATGTAAAATGGTTTAGCTGTGGTAGAAAACAACTTGGAGCTTCCAAAAAAAGAAAAAAAATCAGAGAGTTTACCATATGACTGAGCAATTACAATCTTAGCTGTATAATCAAAAGAACAAAATAACAAACAGATGCGCATACAAAAACCTGTACATTAATGTTCATAGCGACCTTATTCATCAGGTCAAAACTGAAACAACCCAAATGTCCATGAACCAATAAATGGGTAAACAAAAGTGGCATATCCGTACAATGAAATATTTATTAATAAAAATAAGTGAAGTACTGTCACATACTAAAAGACTGATAAATCTTAAAACCTTATGCTAAATAAAAGAAAAACCTAAACACAAAGGCTACATGTTATATGATATAATTTATAAAAAATATTTTGAATAGGCAAATCCATAGAAATAGAAAGTATATTAGTGTTTGCCAGAGGATGGTGGCTGGGGAAGGAATTCAGACTGCTACTGGGCATGTGGTTTCTTTTTGAAGTGATGAAACTATGCTGAAATTAGTGGTGATGGTTGCCTACCTCTATGAATTAAAAAAAAAACCTGAATTTTATGCTTTGAAAGGATGAATTTTATGGCATGTGAATTACATCAAATATAGGTCTTATTAAAAAACACATAAGGAAAATGTTTCTCTTTGCTTCACACAGAAAGATATCACTAATTGGAAAATTGGAGTAATCGTTCTAAAAATATTAAACGTTAACAGTTCATATTTATAATGAATGCATTTTACTCAGTGGTGAACCACATAGTGAAATAATTCTCATACTTTCCTGCATACAAGAATCATCTAATGAAATTTTTTGAACTCTAATGTTAGCCAACATGCAACATAAATGGAAAGAGAAATTTTGGGAGTGTGAAACAATAATTAGTATTTCTTAAAGCTCAGCAATGACATTATTATGTAGCTAAATTACAGAACCACTACAATTGTGTTAAATGTAAATGAATGCAGACTTTATTTTAAGAGAAATAAAGAAATCAAATGACCTGACGACAATTTACAAAAGTACTCAACTCCTACTGAATTAAGTATAATGGGAAGGTTTAGATCTAGCAGGTAAATATCATAGAAGGTACCACTATTTTTTATTTGTATAATGTGTTATTTGTTTGAGAAGAAACTAAAAACACACACACACTTATTTCCACATGACAGATTAAAACTTTTTCATTCAGACTTGATTTTTACAGGATGAGCGATAGGAATAATATTTTGATAGGATATATATGAAATGAATCACATGACTCAAATTGGTAAATCCTCTGATCAAAAATTTTATCATCATGATTGAAAAAATGGAAGATTCTATCTGCTTTTAACAAATTTGCAAATGAAACAAGACAAAAATACTTAAGGGGAAATAGTTCCTATTTTTTGAAATGTGGTTTACATGTTTGAAACAAAAATTGACTCTGTGAATGGGAGTGTGCATGTGCATACGTGCTTGAGTTAACATATATTATATTCCAGTTGTACATAAAGGTCATTTTGAAGACAATTTGAACTCAAATTGTCTATATATATATATATATATATATATATATATATATATATATATATATAGACCTATATCTGCAAGACAATTCTCCAGCACAATTTCAAATCCACTATTAATTATGTTTTGAATATTCATTTTTTCCCTTTCCAGGAAAATGCTTTAATTAATTAATTAATTTCATTATTTATTATTTATTTATTTTGAGATGGAGTCTTGCTCTGTTGCCCAGGCTGGAGTGCAGTGACATGATCTCGGCTCACTGCAACCTTTGCCTCCCAGGTTCAAGCAATTCTCCTGCCTCAGCCTCCTGAGTAGCTGGGATTATAGGTGCGCACTACCACGCCCGGCTAATTTTTTTTTTCTGTATTTTTAGTAGAGACGGGGTTTCACCATGTTGGTCAGGCTGGTCTTGAATTCCTGACCTTGTGATCCACCCGCCTCGGCCTCCCAAAGTGCTGAGATTACAGGTGTGAGCCACCACGCCTGGCCTACCATTTTTAAAACAAAGCCTTTGGGGGAAAAGTATACATTTGGAGTAATTATCTCCTTATCAGAAAGAGTAATTTTTAAATGACTTGTTTGGTTCTGTGTTCCCACCCAAATCTTGTCTTGAATTATCATCCCCATTTTTTTAGGGAGGGACCTGGTGGGAGCTGATTGGATCATTGCAATGGTATCCCCCATGCTGTTCTCCTGATAGTGAGGGAATTTCAAGAGATCTGACAGTTTAAAAGTAGCAATTTTCCCTTTGAGCTCTGTCTCTCCTGCCACCATGTAAGAGGTGCCTTTCTTCCCCTTCACCTTCAACCACGATTGCATGTTTCATGAGGCCTCCCACCCATGTGGAACTGTGAGTCAATTAAACCTCTTTTCTATGTAAATTACCCAGTCTCAGGTAATATATTTATAGTAGTGTGAAATGAACTAATACAATTACCACTAAAGGAAGAATGTTAAATAAAATTTGGGGGAGATATAAAATTAAATATTAATTAAAACCCTATGAGGTGTGAACAGGATGGAGCCAATTCACAATTTTCATTCACTGAGAAAATGTTTTTATTACTGAATTTTTGTAATTTAATTTTCTAGATTTAAAATGTATTCTCAATTTTATGCTCAAATTTATAAATTTATAAGTAAATAAATAAAATGAAATATATATGAAATAAAGTATATAAATAAATTTTATGAATTTTATCTTATAAAAATTTTATTTTATAAGTTTCAGCATAAAATTGAGGATACATTTTAAATCTAAATGAATCTAACTCTAAGTAATAATTTAATAATAATAAATTTAAACCTAAATAAAAAATAATCAAAATATAAAACAGAAATCTTTCTTATATTTTGCTAAATAGACAAGAGTAGATATTTTATTTACCTGACTTATGTTTGATGTGTAGCCAAAAGTATAACGAAGAAGATTAGGGCTAATTAGTGGTCGTTTTCTGATGTCTTTAAGCTCACTTTAACTTAAATTGTTTCCTATTGGAATGAGAATATAGAAGCCTATAAATTCCTAAGCAATACAATCTCATAAAATTTCTATGCATCAAAATGTATTTATTGAATACCTTTAATGTAAAATAAAGTGAGTCATTAACTAGTGACTACCACCTCTTTGCCATGGTTAACTGGTATTCAAATTTCACTTTTGTTCTGACTTCTCTAAAAAGCTTTCACTGAAAATTTTAAATTATTCTCTAACAGATAATTGTTCTTCCTCTATGTATTCTAAAATCTGATGTAAATTTATTCTTGACTTACTTAGTTTCCCTCTTATATATCACAGTGTATACTGCAAAGCATTTTAACTCTGAGTATTTTAAATATGTGCCATAGTTAAGAAAGAGCCCATATGTGGTTTCTGTCACCATCCTTAGTGGGGAGCAGGTTCTGTAGTTATGTTTTAATCATATGAATGAGACACTCTGTGGTAACACCTAAGAGCTGAGTGGATAAATTAACCAACTTGGCCAGTCAGATGTTCTCTCCTGGAATTTGATTTGTTGATTGAGAATGTAGTCAATACCTAATGGTATTAATCTTGAGAAAAAATGCTATTGTTTATGATATTGGAGCAGAAATATTCTGATGAGATTAAGAAGAGAAACCCAGCTTATCAAGATAGTGATATAGACGAGATGAGATATCTCACAGAGAATGTCTGAGAATTTAGATGTCAAGTCTCATTGTCTTTCTACCTGTAGTATCTCAGGTGACCTCACTTCTTTATATACTTCCTCCTCCACTTCACTCTATTGTGTGGGTGTGTGCATCTTATTTTGCTTCTCCTTTTAGGGTAACTTGGATTAATTTTTAGTTCTTGAATATAAAATGTTCTTGACTAAGACAAAAGGAGTGTTCTTAACCAAAATCCAAGCCAAAATTTAAGGACTATATTAATACTGTTAGTTTCTACTTATAAAATGTTGCAATTAAATAAAATTTATATTGTTTAAAATCTTCAGTTTATAGTTATAGTCCTAATATTTGAAGTTGGTTTTTAGAAAGAAGTGTCATGAAAATGTGACTGGATTGAAATTTTTTTTTCATACAAATGTGTGATTACAAAGAAATTAATTAGCTTACCAGAACATCTTGAAATTTCCAAATAATACTACATTAGTTTGCAAATAGAAAAATCTAGGTACATTAGAATGTCCTATATTGCCCATTTCAAATCAGAGAGTCTGCGGCATAGTTGCTAAAAAATCTAATTTAAAATAATTAAATTATCTTACTATTCCCCAAATTTTTCTTGACCTGATAGCATATATTGTGTGTGTCTGTGTATATACTTTTGGATTAACAGCAAATTTACTCTGTGTTATTTACCCAAAGTGTAAAGCTAAATTTATATATCAGAAACCCATCAACATGGTTTAAATATATAAAGATACTTGTGCTTATTTATTCTTGCTGGTTGCCAAATTTCACTCATCAGAATGCCTTATTTAAGAGTCACTAAAAATAATAACAATTTAGAGTGTAATGTTCCAGAGACAAAATTAGTCAAGTCAGTGAAGACAATTAAATAAGACAGTTTAATACAAACTCTATAAATATTTTATTTATCTCATTAGTGATTTTCCCTTCTACTAAAAATAATACCTCCTTTTCCTCTTAAAGTACATTTAATTAACCTAACAAAATGTACAATTTGGTTAAAGAATTTCCCTAGTTATTTTTTACACATTAGCATAAGAACAATGACAACAAATTTTGAATGTATTATGGTAGAAGATTGAATACTTCAGGTTTCCACTGGGTTAGGAGGTCATGAAAGGTAGTTATACCATTACAGAATGGTATTGAAGAACATGGATTCTGGACACAGATGCCTTAGATTTGAATATTAAATCTAGTTTACCATCTGTGTGCCTGTAGGTAAGTTACTTCACCTCTTTATACCTCAGTTTCTCCATCTCAAAGGTAGCAGGATATAGATTTATCCTAAACATAAAAGGAGGTAATATTTGTAATATATGTAGAACGGAATCTGGTACAATTAGCATAAATTATTTCCTATTATTGTTTGTGTCTATGTTTGAATTTATGATTATGTGTATGGAGAAAATATGAAGGATAAAAATCAGGTTGAAAATGTGGTAATTAGTAATAAAAAACAGATATGGATAGAAAAATGGAAAAGGGGAGATCAGGTAGAAACAAGAAAATAAAGGAGTAAAAGACTAACCTAAAATGTGTAAGATATGATCAATTATAGGCATTTATGTAAAATGATATATACTTACATATGCTTTTTTGAAGCATCTTTTAAATCAATTTACAGAAACATTTTCAAAACTATTTTATTTCTTACTCCTAAAACTTTTTTCTTTTTTTCTGTTTATCTGTTAGTACTAAAACTACTTTTTTTCCTGTTTATCTTTTAGATAACCTAAGAGATAAAAGAGATCTAAGAGATAAACAGAATAAAAGTAGTTTCAGTACTACTTTTAGTACTGTATGGTTGTAAAGGACATATTATGTTACAACCATATACTACAAGTAAATTGTAGCTGTTATTTCATTTATGACAGTTTCAAACTGGTTGCTAGTAATTCTAAGATAAAAGTAATTATTTTTCTGAATCTTACCATTTTTATTCAAATGTATTTTGTGATCCAGAAAATCCTAATACATTTATTTATTTAAGTGGTGTTAATATGTGATCATTATTCAACTAGATTTTATGGTTGTGTATGCCTGAGTCATTCTATCTCCAAGAGGTCATGTAGAAGAGGAATAGGCAGAAAAGGAGGACAATGGGAGTTTGTGATAGCTATCATCTGAGGTTTCCCTTTTTTAAATGAAGTAGGAAGCAAGGTTATCAACTAAGAAGGATGGAAAAAAGATTTGGAGGTAGAATAAAAAGGTGTCAAAGCCTTGTGAAAAAGAACAAAATTGTGGGACATTATTTTTGGAATTGAACATATTGTTAGGAAATTATTTATATCTTTTTGCTTGTCAACTCAGTTGTCATAAAGTTACTGGAAATACTTTACTCTCTCCTTTATCTGTCATTATGCTATGTAATTATTACCAAGGTCGTCCATTTATTATTCTCCCTTTATTTTCTAATAAGGTCTCTAGGGCTTTTCCTAGTTTCAAGCTTTAACTTTATCCTTTCTAACATTTTGATTTTTCTCTGTTTTTGTACCAGCTTTTAGTTTTATTAATGCCCACATACTTCCAATAGAGAGGGGTTTTTTTTTCTACTATTTTTCACTTAATTTTTGTCTCACCTTCATATCCTCCATTTCTTCTTTTAGGAATTTGTATTTTATAGGCTACCATCCTGAATCAATCCTCGAAATAGCTTTTCCATCATGATTTTTAACTTTTTTGTGTGTTTTGTTTAACAATATTTGTTTGACCTAAATTATTTTTTAATTTTTTATGAGATTGAATTATTTCTTCCATTTGGTCTTCCAGGTTCTTCTTCGGGTTGTGAGCACTACCATTTTCTGCTTTGATTGTTCTACTGAATTATTTGATAGGAAAAAATCGTGTTTTTTGGTCTGCAGTCCCCAGAAAATTTTTTGTGATGGTTTTTAGTGTATGTAAAGGCTCTAGTTTATATTATTTTTAATTGACATATTTATTTATCTTGTTCAGAAGTTCTGTTTCACTGAGAATGAATTTTTAATGCCTGATCTTGCTTTCTATAGGATGTAATAGATTTAAATTAATTTGTCACTTTGCATATTCTGTTCTGGGATCCCACAACATCCTGCTTGACATTCTTTAATGTGCATACAAAAAATATCATTCTTGTGGTATACATTCTATGGGATTTGCATAGTCATGAATCCACTACTTCAGTATCATACAGAAAGTTTATCACCTTAAAAATTCCCCTTTGGGGCACCACAGCAAACCAGCAATCACTTTTCTCTTATATTTATATTTAACACAATTTCTTATACACAGCATTAAGTTCATCTCGGTTTTTTATCTGATAACTTCAGATATCAGAAAAATACACTTTAACTGGTACATTTAGACTAATCATAGCTAAAGTGATCATTGAAATGGCTGAATTAAAATGTATCATCTTGCTGAGTCATTTTCTGTTTATTCCATAGGTTCTTTTTTGCTCCTTTTTGGCCTTCTCTGTTTAACAGAGCATGTGCTATGATTCCATATTATTGCCTTTATTGACTTATTATTCATACCTTTTAAAAATATTTTTAGGGTTTGCTCTTGGGTATACAACCTACATTTTACATAATCTGAGTCTACCATCATATAATAAATATTGTACCGCTTCATATGCAGTATAAGAACCTTGTAAGAGTATACGTATTCCTAGTTTTCTTTCCCATCTTTTGTGCTATTTTCGTGTTTTTACATATTCTAAAAGGACTAAATAGATTGCTATTTTTGATTCAGTCTTTTAGTGCAGTTAAAAAGAAGGAAACAGATGAATTTTATTTTGAATTCATTTTTTTATTTCCAGTGATGATTTTTTTGTAGATCCAAATTTCTACCCTAGATCTATATTCCTTCTAAGTTCATTTTTTGACCTTTCTTTTAGAGTAGGTTTGCAAGTGTAACCGAGAAGCTTGGCTTCAAATCACGTTTTACAGCTTTTTTTCTTTCCTCCTCTCTTCCCAATCTCAAGACATAACTTTGAGACAAACTGCGTATGTGTATCCTTTCATCTTGAAATACAGCCTGGGAATGCACTGTGAACCTCCACTCCGTTTTATTTACCATTCTGTGCTCCCATGCCTTATGCACAGTTATTTACCTGGATACTTGTTAAGCACACACCATACTCACTTATTGGGTCGTACATTTCCTTAGGAGCTTCGGGGGCCAGATTCTGATATGAACCAAACACCTCTGGCCACAACAGCACTGGCCCCTTCACCAGATGGAAAAATAATTCAAGACAAGCCACTGGAATGGGTCACGACACCTGACACCTCCCAGCCCCCTGCCTCTTCTGCACTCCAAACCTTCTCTTTCACAACCTCTGTGTTCCCTCCACAAATTTAAGAGTGGAAATTTTGGGGAAGCGTTTCACCCACTCCTCCCTCTTTTTAGCATGCATAATAAAATATTGCTTTCTGTTTATCACACCTCACTCTTGTTATTCTGGCTTCTTTCTACAAGCGGCGAGCAACTGGAAACTTTGGTGGTTACACGAGCAAAGAATTCCCTATTTTAGTTGTTCTGATGAAGTCTTTATTTCTCCTTCATTTTAAAGGACACTTTCATGGATGTAAATTTCTGGATTGACTTTTTTTTTTTTCCTTTTAGCATTTTAAAAAGTTTTTGCCTTAATCTTCTTGCTTGCAAGTTTTCTGGAGAGAAGTCTGCTATAATTCTTATCTGTCCTACACTATAGACATGTGTATTTTTATCTGGCTGCTTTTAAGATTTTATCTTTGCTATTCAGCAATTTGAATGGGATGTATATATGTATGTATGGTGTTTTTGGTGGTCTTTACCCTGTTCATTGTTCTCTGTGTTTCTCACAACTGTATTTTGATGTTCACCACTAACTTTGGAAAAAGTTTTAGATTAATTTTTTCAAACATTTTTTCTGCTTCATTCTTGTCTTCTGAGATTTCAATTACATATGTCCTAGAGTGCCTGACATTGTCCCACAACTCTTTAAACCTATGTTTTATTCTCTTTGGATTTCTTTTTCTTTTTTTTTTGAAATGGAGTCTCACTCTGTCGCCAGGCTGGAGTGCAGTAGCACGATCTCAGCTTACTGCAACCTCCACCTCCCAGGTTCAAGTGATTTTCCTGCCTCAGCCTCCCAAGTAGCTGGGACTACAGGCATGCACCACCACACCCAGCTAATTTTATTTTATTTTTTTATTTTAGTGGAGATGGAGTTTCACCATGCTAGCCAGGATGGTCTCAATCTCTTGACCTTGTGATCTGCCCGCCTCGGCCTCCCAAAGTGCTCGGATTACAGGCCTCTTTGTATTCCTATATAGGTAATTTGTCTTCACCTTTCCTTCAGTTCACTAACTTGTTTTTTTTTTTTTGAGACGGAGTCTCGCTCTGTCGCCCAGGCTGGAGTGCGGTGGAACGATCTCGGCTCACTGCAACCTCTGCCTCCTGGGTTCAAGCGATTCTCCTGCCTCAGCCTCCCAGGTAGCTGGGATTACAGGCACCTGCCACCACACCCAACTAATTTTTTTGTATTTTTTTAGTAGAGACAGGGTTTCACCATGTTGGCCTGCCTCGGCCTCCCAAAGTGCTGGGATTACTGGCTTGAGCCACTGCACCCAGCCTACTTCACTAATTCTTTGCTCAGCAGTGTTGAGTCTAATGACAAGCCCATTAAAGACATTTTTTATTTCTTTTTCTGCATTTTTGATTTCTAGTATTTCCATTTGATTCTTGACTACACTGTTATTCCTCCACTTAAATTGCCTATGTGATTTTGCAATTGTCTAACAACCTTTCCCTGAAAGCCTTTAACATTTCAGTGATATTTATTAAAATTCTCTGTTTGAAAACATCCATATGTATAATGTATTTGAAATTGATTTACATCTTTTGACTGTGTTTGTCTTGCAGACACAGACTGTGTCTTGTGTGACACATATTTTTTTTGCTGAAAACCAAACATGTTGTTTAAGAGAGTAGGAGCATAGAAATCGAATTAAATACATTAGATGCAAATACAAATATAGATACAGGTAATCTATCTCTTATGGACATCCCTGCTTTATTTTGTGGATCAGAACAGCATGCAGTGATTACCAATGCCAGAGGAGAACGCCAACTACATGCAGGATAGCAACAATTATCACTAAGCAAACTATCAGAAATAGAAATCTAAACACTTATGCCTACTATCTTGGTATTAAATTCACTATACTATATTAACATGTTGCTATTAAAGTCACCAAGGACAATACAAGGCAGTCAAGCACTGGATTGACAATGCTTCACATAGGAAAGACACAGAGCAAGGTCAGCAATAGGCCTATGCATACACGTCTCTTGCTGCAGCAGAAGGACCCCTTTTCCTTTCTCCCTGCCCCCGTAGAGTCTGAAATACTAAAAGTTGGGGGCATATCTGAGGGCCACTGACATACACGCTTGGCCATGTGTGTCAAAGTAATATTCATTTAAGTCTGTATTGGGAAAGATATCTTCACAAAATATGAGAAGTCTAGCACAGGCTGTGCAGGCCTTTTGTCTCTTGGTAAGCAACTATTCCAGGCCCAACATCTATTCTTATGTGGGCAAGCAGGTATTGAAAGAGTGTGCACGTGAGACGCCCTTCTCAACATATTTTATGTTTAGTTTTACTGTAGGTTTGTTAGCATTGTGATGGGGTGTGGTAGAGGAGCATTCACATATGTCCTGATTAAGTCAAATCCTAGACCCGCTCGCTCTGGGAACCGGGGTCCTGGAGATGTGGTTTTTACCCTCCTCCAGTTATAGTGCTGGGTTTACGTATTCCTGCACTTCCTCCAGGGGCGGAGCTTAAGTGCTATTTGAAGTGTTGCTATTACAACATTAGGATTTCTGTTTATGCAAAAAAGAAATAAAATAAAAAATTAAAAAAAATAAAAATTGTACTAATACGGGCTAAACATCAGATTAGTCAATATGATTTTCTTTATCAACATTTTTTAGTTATTTGCAGACAATTTTTAGATAACTACTTTCTGATTATGTAGAGTTTGGTAAACTTGGAGGTCTTTCTATTCTTATTGCTTCTAGAAGCTAAGATGAATGTCTATGTATTTTATAGCATGAGAGTGAGCATAACTCCTTTCCTGGAACCATGAATGACAACCTAATACATATTGAAATAAAATTATAATTTTTCTTGAAGTACTTTTATGAACTGCTTGGAACGTATTTAAATAGCCAAGAAAAGTTATATATATTTCCTGGATAAAAAATATTGTGACATTACACATAAAAGTGATTGGCCATTTAAAAACTCATAACATAGATGAATGTCTTTAAAATAAAAAATGAAAATATGCACTAAGACTGATGTTTTATTACTCCGCTACTGGAGCACTAAAATCCATTCCTTTCCAGCATTTGCCTTTTATTATCTATGAAAACTATATTGAACATCTAAGTAACATTGTTTTTAAAAAAACTTTGAAAAAGTGATATTAATGACTATGCATTTAAAGTTGGAAAAGAATATACAAAATATTCCTTGTTCATAATTCTTTGTTTTAGGCTAATAAACAATTTGTATGCCTGAAAGTAATCTCAACGTATTATACTATTATACCACCTTTAAAATCCTGTCTGTACCATTCATTTCAATCACATTCTTTTTTATTTTTTGAAACAGTCTCAGCTCTGTTGCACAAGCTGGTCTTGAACTCCTGGTCTGAAGCCAACCTCCTTGCACTCCTGAGTTGGCAAAATTACAAGTGTCAGCCACCGTACCCAGCCCACTCTTAACTTTTTTTTGTCCTTACTCTTTTACACCTTTAGAAAATAAAAATCTCTCTATATATGTATGTATATATTTTTAAATATATTTTAAATATATTTTTAAAATCTGTATTGGGAAAGATCTTCACAAAATATGGTAAGTCTAGCACAGGCTGTGCAGGCTCTTTATCTCTTGGTAAGCAGCTATTCCAGGCCCAACATCTATTCTTATGTGGGCAAGCAGGTATTGAAAGAGTGTGCAGTTAAAAAAAAAAATATATATATATATATATATACATTTTTTTTTTTTTTTGAGACAGGCTCTTGCTCTGTCACTCACAGGTGAGTGCAGTAGCACCATTATTGCCCACCACAGCTTCTACCTCTGGGATCAACCAATTCTTCTGCCTGTCTCCTATGTAGCTGAGACTATAGGCATGCACCACCACACATGGCTAATTTTTATTTATTTTTTTGTAGAGATAGGGTCTTGCTATGTTGCCTAGGTTGGGCTCCAGTGATCCGCCCACCTCAGCTTCCCAAAGGGCTGTGATTACAGGTATGTGCTACTGTACCCTGCCTCTATATGTAATTATTATTTGCTAATATCTCCTGTTCTTATCTGTCATCACTGGAAACATAGGTAACATTTTTCCTATTGAAATATTCCTTATTTTTTATTTAAATGACAAATGATCCAAATTCATTATATGTGATATGAAGTGCCTAGTAAAATATTTTCTTTTGTTCCCAAATTGTGATTAAGTCACAAATGATTTGGATATATATATATATATCCCCTGGAACTAGTATTCTTGAGTGTAACTTTCAGGAAATGCTGTCCTATTGCAAATGAATCACCTAGGGATTTCCTTAGTCTAAAAGAAGGAACTCTAGAATAATTGCCGTAAGCAAACACATACATACCCACTTATCCTTCCACTCACATACTTATAACCTATCTCTCTGTAGCTGCACATATATACATATAAACACATACGCACATACAGAAATACATCTTTTTTGATTGTTGAAATCTAGTGTTTTCTTTTTGGTGAGTTCAGTTTTTCCCCCATTGAGGTATAGTGGTGAATACTAGAATATGTAAGTCATTGATTCAAAGTAACAAACTAAACAAGTCGTAAAACAGAAAAATTAAACCAATTTTAAATATTTTTATAGTAAACCATTTTAAAAGATACATATATTTGGATGAAAAACCCTCAGAACCAAAGAAAATATACTTTGAGAACTAATTTTGAAAAGTATTTCTTATTTGCTCTTGCCTAAAATATGTTAATTCCTTTTGTAAGCACTCCTATTATAATTCTTGTACCAAGATATTAGGATGTACAATAGTAACACCGAATAAAAAAGTGTCAATATTCAGTGGCAAAATCTTAACTTCTTAAGATATGATGATTCCCACCCTTTGTTCCTGGTATATGAAAGCAAGTGCCTAGTCTTTAAAACCATTTTAGTTAGTGACTTCTATATACTGGCAGTTAAAGTGACCAGCCTTTACTCTTACTCATTATAACATAGCTGAAAAGATATGTCCGAGAAGCATAGCAAGCTGCTTAGAATCTAAAGAAATGGCAGATTATAAGATCAGTAGGCAATCTGGAGAAGGCTGGGTTAGCTCTCCAGTTAATTTTTGAGCTTTATATGTTGTTATATGGATTGTAGATGGTAGATGGGACTTATCTTTCTTGAGCAAACATCTAGGCACTTTTGAATACGAGGAATGAATCCCCTTGTAGTGCTAGTATAGTATTATATTTTCAATAGGCAATGAGGCTTAAGTTTCAGGACACCATGACACATAGGGACTAGTCCAAAAGAGGCAAATGAATCCTCAGTATTCGCTATACAAAATAATATTATACAATATTATTATGATACTGTGATATTTTTGTTGCATTTTTCATAAAAATTTCAGCTATGGATTCCTTTTCATTTTTATGGTGGAGTATGTAGTTTATTCAGTATAGACACGCACTGTTTTTCCCACACTAGGTGTCTACTTCAAAGCAGGGAGTTCTGTTTCTTTCAATCAACTTCTCCTGGAGTAGATTAGATTGGAATTGTTAACAATCAATCGTAATTTTAATATCTCACTAGAAAAGCCTTCATTCAATACACGGACTTATTTAATATAACATTAAACAGAAAGCTTAAGAAAACATTTAAAACAGAATTGCAAGCATTTCATATTACATCTACTGGAAAAAAAAGATGTTTGAATTCCATTGAAATAAATTCATAATGTCCATACAGAGATGAGTGCAGTACATTTGAGAAATAACAGTAATTGCAATTATTTTCCTCTTATTTCCTAAACCAGAAACTAAAAAAAAAAAAAAAATCCATAAGCATATGGTGGGTTGTAGGGTGAGGGTATGTCTTCAGATCTCTAAAGGATCTAACAAAACAACAAAATTAGAACATGATTTTTTTTTCATCATTCCATGTTATAATTAATTGGATCAATTCAGTGCTATTATAATATATTTAAGTTGATGCCTTTCTTTAAAAAGATGAAAATGGTGGTAATAAAGAACAATAAAAAGCTTATACTTTAAAGATTCAGATATTTCATTTCATTATTTAAGAATTCAGGTGTGTGTTTGATTTCCTGATAAAGTAAGAATAGATAATGAGAGAGGTTTTAAAAAGTAGTAATAAACAAAAAGACATTAAGTGATTCATTTTAAGTTATTTCTCCAATTTATGGTCTAAGATTATTTGTCCATCTGGAAAGAGAAAATAGCATTTTTATGATTTTTATGAGTAATAATTACTTAAAATTTACATACTATTGTGAATCTCAAAAATGCTGCATGATGTTGAGTAGCAGTATTTTCTTTCAGCTTACTTATGAATAGCATCCCAGCTGTGAGCCTTTGAAAATCAACAAAATATACATTCAATACTATGTCAAGCATGAGGTCTTCTAAATAGGATGCAGTTTACCAAACAAAGAAATTGTAAGAGCACAAGCATGTAACAAATGCTAATTTGAGTGGGGGTACAGATTTCAGAAGTGTCTTTTAAAGTCATATACTTTAAATCAGCCAGCTAGTCAATAGCTTAAAATTAGTTAATGGGCATTATCACAAGGGGGAAATAATTTGGCATTGTTGAACTCTGTAATTTGCTTATAAAAATAATGTTTATGTATTATTGTATATAACAAATTAAAATCATACAATGAATTATTTATGAAAATGTGAAATTTAATGTGATAAAATTTATAAATTATATATTTTTGCTTTACTCTGGAAATTATGTATTGTAAGAGGCCACTTAGGTCATCATAACATAACCAATCAACATAACAACTTAATTTGACATTTTTCAAAGACCACTTGTTTTCCTAGAGACAAAATGTGTATGTTTAATTAAACTTTTTGTTTATTTTTCACTTGTAATTTTATTAAGTCTCAATGTAATATAGTATTTGTAAAATTCTTAAGTATTTGATTATCAAAAAATTAAATAAAAAGCCAGAAAGGAAGAAATGAAGAGACTTTTTAAATAACACAATATCCCAAGTCCAAGTCTTGAGATAATTATAAATATACATATTATATTGATCACTGAATGATTGGATTTTTGTATCTTTTCATGAACATCCCAGGAAAAAAAGTTATTCTTAGATTTTAGACTCAAACTATATATAATCACAGGTAAATAAATGCATAGACATGTATCTTTTTTAAAAATAGACATTTTCCTAAAATCTTTCTCTAGGTTTTGTTAATTCATGCTATTTATTTTAGCACCTGGATTTATTTACTTCTAGTGTTTTCTAAATTCACTTTGTCTCAAAATTTTCACAATATTTTGAATAGCAACATTTGCTTTAGTTGATACTATGTAAATATACACACATGATTTTATTTCAAGCATAATTGCATAATTGCAGTTTTATGTTTATCCTTGCTATTCATCACATGAGTAATGATCTGGAAATGCAAAATTTCTTACTGGGTAAACCCTATGCAGTTTGTCATTCATTCATTATATTTTCCTACTACCTTGGTAATCACAACCTTTCCAATTATATGACTTCGACTTACATTAAGTTATTATTATACTCATTCACATTCATACCACACACGATTTTTATGAACAGTTCTCCAATGTTCAACTTGGCAAATAACAAGCTCAATTATTCAACATTTATTACAGATCTGACATTGTATTGAACCCAGAATGTAAAGACATAATGCAATGAACTCTCCATTCTCAAGTTCCATGTCTATGTACAAGAAAAAGAGAACACAAGGCAGCAAATAATGTAATATTTATGTCTTAGCAGTACAAAATTAGAGTAATCAACTATAATTGGATGTCCCAGGAAGGACTTCACTTGTTTTGTGTTTTGAAGGATGAGTGGAAGATGTTAGGAGGACTATGATGCACAGAATATTCCATTAAGTGGGATGCATTACAGCTGATTGAACAACTTTATTGTAGTTGCATAAAAGCAAACACTGTCATCTGTATTATAAGCCACTTTTAAATATACAAGTAAATCTAATCAGTATTCAACAATGTATAAGATAAACCTGTAAAACTTGAAAGAAAAGGAAAGTAGCAAAGGAAAAAAGAAAGGGAGGAAGAAAAGGAGGAAGGGAAGGAGCAAGAAAGCTAGTAAGAAAGGAGAAAATCAAATCAGATATTTGAGAAGTCTTCCTCAAAAGCTCCTCTCTTTTTATTGAGTATTTTAGGATACTGGGATAATGATCTTGTTATCTATCACTACATAACAATGCACCTCAAAATTTGGCAGTTTAAACTCGTAAAAATGAGTTATTTTGCTCACAAAAATGCAATTGGAGAGAGCTTGGTAGGACAGAAAATCCCTGATGCAGGTGGCATCAGCTGCTGTCATTCAACTGAGGGCCAGAACATCTACTTTTGAGATGGCTCAATCATATGGCTGTCAAATAGGGCTGAAGGTCACCAGGCACTTCCGCTGGGACTGGAAACTGGGGGTTTTGCTTCCTCTCCACGTGCTTGTCTATAGGATGCCTGAGTTTCTTCAAAGGATGATGGCTGGTTTCCAAAGCCAAACATTTCAAGAGAATTAAGAAGAAGATGTATTGTCTCTTATAAAATAGCTTTGAAAGTCACAGAGCTTCACTTCCACTGTAGTCACAAATCTACCCATACACACAAGATGAAACACTGACCCCAGATCTCTAAGGTAGGCTTGTTAAGGTCACATTGAAGAAAATGACATTCATAGATGATGTTGTTCCCTTTTTGGACAATAAAATATTCAAAAGATAAAGTTACTAAGAAATTTGTCCCAAATACTAGGTACACTGTCAGTAATGTTTTTATGGTTCTCTTTAATTAGGGGAGCATTTACACATCAATGGATGTTTGACAGCATCTGGAGACTTTTTTGACTGTTGCAAGTGAACATTGCCACTGGCACCCAATGGATGGAGGCCAAGGATGCTGCTAAAAAGCCTACAGTGCATGGGACATCCAACAATGGAGAATTATCTTCTCTGCTGAAAGGGTTCATAATGTCAAGGTTGAGAAGCTCTGCTTGAAAGAATAAAAGCTTTAATATTTACCTGGAAATAGAGTATTGTCTTACTGCTGGAAGTCATCCATTTTGGTATTATATAAATTTCTGATGTGGATTTTGCTCCCTAAAGTACTATAGTAAGAATTTCTGAAAGAAATGAAACAATAGGTTATTAGGTTACTTGAAAATAATCAACTTTGATATTTTAGATAATGTATTTGTTTCCTATGGTTTCCATTACAAATTACCATAAGCTTGGTGACTTAAAACCACATAAATATATTCTCACAGTATTGGAGGCCAGATTTCTGGAATTAAGGTGTCAGCAGCGTTGTACTTCTGCAGAGGTTCCAGGAGGAAATTCAACCTCTGCATCTTCTAGTTTCTATGTGGTTCCTGGCTCCTTGGTTTACAGCCACAACACTCCAATCCTGACTCCAGGATCATGTTGCCTCCTCTTCCTTTCTGTGTCTTCTGCATTCTGCTTATTTCAAATCCTCCTCTGCCTTTTTCTTATAAGAACACTTGTCATTGAGTATAGGGACCACCAGATAATCTAGAATTATCTCCACATTTCAAGATTGTTAATGTAATCACATTTACAAAAACCTTTTTTTTCGAAACAAGTTTCCAGGAATTTGATGTACAACTTTTAGGACATCATGTTTTAGCCTACAACACAGAGTAAATTTATTGCAATTACCAATGTTTGGCCATCACAGATTAATTTCCAGAACCAACTGAACTATTTACAAGCATTCACAAAACTAATAAAAAACATAAAGATTACTTTAATATCTAATAAAAATATACTTATATGATGATATAATAATTTATTTGTGCATATTGTTGATTAATATATCATCTCTACAAATCACAATATATAAAATAAGACAAACAAGTACCAATGAATTCTGAGATTTAAAAAAATGCTAATTACTTAGAAAGTTATGAAGAACTAATTCAAAACTGGGAAATTTTGGCATTCAGATCAAAATTTTAGAATGTAATACACTATAATTTATTTTACTTAATTTCAGAATTTTCAAATTAGAAATTAGTCAATTTGATACATAGAATAAAGTTATAGTTTAGAAAATATTAGTAGTTTAAGATGTAACAAATTATTTTTTATCAAAATAAAATCACTTGGTTTTGTACTAATCTCAATTACTTAAAATTTAAAAGCAACAATGATTATTGTAAATGTTAACATGAGATTAAAGCTATAAGATATACAATTATGTATACTTATGACTACATAATCCTTAGATCTTATGTGTTTTAATTATACCTACTGATAGCATAACTTTAAAAATACTAAGAATTTTAGTCTGTATGTAGAACTTATTTTCACAATTTTATTTTCACAGAAAGAGCAATTTTACCATTTAAAATATATTTTAAAGAGAGTAAACCATTCAAATAAGAGAGTGTATTTTCAAATTAACTTTTCAAAAATGAATTTTTCTTTGCTCTAGTACATTAACTATATGATATACAAAATAATTAATAGAAAATAAATAATATGCTATTAAAGCTGGGACCCTCAGTGTTAACTCAAAGTAAAAACCACTTTTGCTGTACCTCTGTGAACAGATTAAGACATTCCAACTTCAGCTTTCTAAGATAGTAGTCTAGGACTGTACCAAACTTGTCCTTCTAGTATAATTAAATTGGCACAGTTAATATGTTAGTATTTTTTTGGAGCCTTGTCATGTCATATTAAAGTCTTCATTTCACACAAAGGACACTTATGGAAGTCATTAGCTGGTTTCTCAAGGCAACCACGGTAAATTGTCCTGTTTCTTCAAAGTGGTTGGCAAATATTTTTGCCCTTATCCTCCTGAAGAAAGAAGGCTATCACGGGTCTTTTTTTCCCCATAGAATATATTGATTGACTCACTAAGAATCAATGCTTCTTTTTTTTTTTTATTTTTTGCCAAAACTCAGTGAATTATTTACGTACTAATGACATACATATTCTTGGAAGTTTCTGAATTATTCTATGCTTCTTCTATCTCTAAATAGAAACCATCTATATTCTATTAAGCCATCATCTTACAATTAAATGTTATTTATTTTGCAAAACCATCTTTCATACTTTCAATCATTATATTTTTATTTGTAATAGTTTTTTAAATTATGATTTAAAATTTGTCTCTCATGTATAATAGTTTCAATATTATGAAAGTTATGGTTTATAATTGACAATTTACATCTCATTTATAGTGATTAATTTTTGTATAAACTGCAGATGTTGAATACTATGTGATTTTAATAGTTATGCCTATTTTCCGCTTCTTTCTCAGTGTGCATTGTAAGCTATTTGTCAACAGGGACATTGTCCTTCTCTTACATTTTCAAAATCCACTACACAGTGATAAATATATTGTGAAGACACAATAAGTAATTGATTATTTGATTCATCACAGCTTTTCAAATATAAAGATTTCCACAACATAGGAAAAGTGAAATACAATTTTAGAAAAAGTAATTTTTTAAGAGAAGATTCAATACATTGGAAAACAAAACCAATAAGATTTTGGTGAAAAAAAAATGTAGGTTATAGGATTACAGAAGACTGAGAAGACAGCTTGAGGTTAGCTTCCAAGCCCTGCACTGCTCAGTTCTCTCAATTACTGATTAGAAAAGAAGATAAAATGGAAGAGTGAGATCAAGAGTAAAAGAGAGCAGGCTGGGTGAGGTGGCTCACACCTGTAACCCCAGCACTTTGGGAGGCCAAGGCGGGTGGATCACCTGAGGTCGGGAGTTTGAGACCAACTTGAACAACATGGAGAAACCCCGTCTCTACTAAAAATACAAAATTAGTTGAGCGTGGTGGTGTGTGCCTGTAATCCCAGCCACTCAGGAGCCTGAGGCAGGAGAATCGCTTGAACCCAGACAGGTTGGGTTGAGCCAAGATCGTGCCATTGCACTCCAGCCTGGGCAACAAGAGCAAAACTCCTTCTCAAAAACAAACAAACAAACAAACTAAACACAGAGCAATAGAAGCTACTGCTTTTACTGTTTTCATTTACAGTATCTCTGTAGTAGTGGGTCAGTAGCCCTCCTCTTTTGTTGTCCATGATTGTGTCAAATACAGGTGGCTGAGGATAAGGGAGATATTCTACATACTCATGAATGAAACTAAAGGCAGTCTCAGTGCCTTAATTATTCTGCACAACTCAAGACCACTGTGGAGCCCTGGTGACAAATCATTATTTCCTATGGAGGGATGCCACAGCAAATAATTTCATGGGGAAAGAAGAGAAGTAGAATAAAATGGAAAGATAATTTACAAAGCATCTGTTAATTGACTGAATATGTTAATGAAAATCCATGAGGCACCCATTAAAACAGCTGCATAATATAGATGCTGCAGGTTGTGAGGGTAGAATTTACAGTTGAATGAAAGTCATTCAACATAACTAGAAAAAGAAGTAAATGTGACTATTTTCTTGTCTTGATTTTAAATTGCAGGCTTCCATAGCATTGGAAATCATGCAGAATTCTACAATTTATTCTTCAATTATATTTTCTTCAATTTGAGCTTCTTAAAGCTTATTCATGTATTTTCCATCTCCTTGAAGGAATATTTTTATCACTTTCATTACATCAAATTTAATACTGTATGGGTAGCATTGTCTTTCCTGTGACCAAGTACCTAGCTTCCATGTTAATGGAATTACCATTATGTTTATATGAAAAAAAACATTGAGAGTAGGTTGGCCTGAGGTTGATGTTTTCCACACTTTCTCAAACCTTTTTATGCTTTTTATCTCATTATATTGAAAAGACTTAATACAAACACTTACTATGTACCCACAAAAATTTTAAAAATATTTACAAAATAAAAGACTTCCAATTTTAAAACATCAGACTATTGTATGAACATCCTTGAAAGTCTCGGTTAGAGCCAAGCTTCCTAACAATGCATTCTATGTGTTTTTCTATACCTTTTGTTTCAAATTACTTTTACAAATAATTAGGACATTGTCTTCCCCAAATCACTATACGTGTCCTTATTGAGAATAAACAGACAAAAATGATTTCTTAATTCAGTAATATACTGATGCAATTTAACAATATAGATATTAAATTAGACATAAACATTGAAATATTAGAACTAAAAAAGCACAATTTTTTAAAAACATGAATTTCAGAAATTTTGCCTGCAATGACACTCTTATATAAAAATTATTTTCTGTCACTCTAAGTTAAAAATTAAAGCTGTATTGCAACATCTGCAAGGAAATCACACAAAATGCCAAATATTAGCAGGAATGCTAAAAACTCAACCATTTCAAAATGTGACAGACTATCATATGCTGAGAGAGAACACATTTGAATTTATGAAATTGACTGCCCAGCATGTAATCACAGCCACTAAGCTAATGAGATATGATTTGTAAGATTTTACTTTTATTGCTCTAAAAACACTGCTAGTTATCAGTGTATCAATTAATATTATTTATTTTCTCAATACACAGAAATGAAATACATATAGTCTAGTTTAAAAGAGATAGTCAAGTGCTATGGGGTGCTGAGAAGAATGTATATTCCATTGATTTGGGGTGGAGAGTTCTGTAGATGTCTATTAGGTCTGCATGGTCCAGAGCTGAGTTCAAGTCCTGAATATCCTTGTTAATTTTCTGTCTTGTTGATCAGTCTAATATTGACAGTGGGGTGTTAAGGTCTCCCACTATTATTGTATGGGAGTCTAAGTCTCTTTATAGGTCTCTAAGAACTTGCTTTATGAATCTGGGTGCTCCTGTATTGGGTGCATATATATTTAGGATAGTTAGCTCTTCTTGTTGCATTGATCCCTTTACCATTATGTAATGCCCTTCTTTGAATTTTTTGATCTTTGTTGGTTTACAGTCTGTTTTATCAGAGACTAGAATTGCAAACTCTGCTTTTTTCTTTTTTTTTTTTTTGCTTTCCATTTGCTTGGTAAATCTTCCTCCATCCCTTTATTTTGGGCCTATGTGTGTCTTTGCACGTGAGATGGGTCTCCTGAATACAGCACACTGATGGGTCTTGACTCTATCCAATTTGCCAGTCTGTGCCTTTTAATTGGGGCATTTAGCCTGTTTACATTTAAGGTTAATATTGTTATGTGTGAATTTGATCCTGTCATTATGATGCTAGCTGGTTATTTTGCCCATTAGTTGATGCAGTTTCTTCATAGTGTTGATGGTCTTTACATTTTGGTTTGTTTTTGCAGTGGCTGGTACTGGTTTTTCCTTTCCATATTTACTGCTTCCTTCAGGAGCTCTTGTAAGACAGGCCTGGTGGTGATAAAATCCCTCTGCATTGCTTGTCTGTAAAGGATTTTATTTCTCCTTCACTTATGAAACTTAGTTTGGCTGGATATGAAATTCTGGATTGAAAATTCTTTTCTTTAAGAATGTTGAACATTAGCCCCCACTCTCTTCTGGCTTGTAGGGTTTCTGCCGAGAGATCCACTATTAGTCTGAGGGGCTTCCCTTTGTGGGTAACCCAACCTTTCTCTCTGGCTGTCCTTAACATTTTTCCCTTCATTTCAACTTTGGTGAATCTGATGATTATGTGTCTTGGGGTTGCTCTTATCAAGGAGTATCTTTGTGGTGCTCTCTGTATTTCCTGAATTTGAATGTTGGCCTGCCTTGCTAGGTTGGAGAAGTTCTCCTGGATAATATCCTGAAGAGTGTTTTCCAACCTGGTTCCATTCTCCCCATCACTTTCAGGTACACCAATCAAATGTAGGTTTGGTATTTTTCACATAGTCCCATATTTCTTGGAAGCTTTGTTTATTCCTTTTCATTCTTTTTTTCTCTAATCTTGTCTTCATGCTTTATTTCATTGAGTTGATCTTCAATCTCTGACATCCTTTCTTCTACTTGATTGATTCGGCTATTGATACTTGTGTATGCTTCACAAAGTTCTTGTGCTGTGTTTTTCAGCTCCATCAGGTCATTTATGTTCTGCTCTAAACTGGTTATTCTAGGTAGCAATTCCTGAAACCTTTTATCAAGGTTCTTAGGTTCCTTGGGTTAGGTGAGAACATGCTCCTTTAGCTCAGAGGAGTTTGTTATTACCCGCCTTCTGAAGTCTACTTCTGTCAATTCATCAAACTCATTCTTCATCTAGTTTTGTTCCCTTGCTGGCGGAGAGTTGTGATCCTTTGGAGAAAAAGAGGCACTCAGGTTTTTGGAATTTTCAGCCTTTTTGCGCTGTTTTTTTTTTTCTCATCTCTGTGTATTTACCTACCTTTGGTCTTTGCTGTTGGTGACCTTTGGAAGGAGTTTTTGCGTGGTCGTCTTTTTTATTGACGTTGATGCTATTGCTTTCTGCTTGTTAGTTTTTCTTCTAAGGAATAATTTTTGCAATCTATTCATCTAACAAAGGGCTAATATCCAGAATCTACAATGAACTTAAACAAATTTACAAGAAAAAACCACCCCATCAAAAAGTGCGTGAGGGATATGAACAGACACTTTTCAAAAGAAGACATTTATGCAGCCAACAAATATATGAAAAAAAGCTCATCATCACTAGTCATTAGAGAAATGCAAATCAAAACCACAGTGAGATACCATCTCATGCCAGTTAGAATGGTGATCATTAAAAAAATCAGGAAACAACAGATGCTGGAGAGAATGTGGAGAAATAGGAATGGTTTTACACTGTTGGTGGGAGTGTAAATTAGTTCAGCCATTGTGGAAAAGACTGTGGTGATTCCTTAGGGACCTAGAACCAGAAATACCATTTGATCCAGCAATCCCATTACTGGGTATATACCCAAAAGATTATAAATCATTCTACTATAAAGACACATGCACACATAATGTTATTGCAACATTATTCACAATATCAAAGACTTGAAACCAACCCAAATTCCCATCAATGTTAGACTGGATAAAGAAAATGTGGCACATATACACCATGGAATACTATGTAGCCATCAAAAAAGAATGAGTTCATGTCCTTTGCAGGGACATGGATGAAGCTGGAAACCATCATTCTCAGCAAAATAACACAGGAACAGAAAACCAAACACTGCATGTACTCACTCATAAGTGGGAGTTGAGCAATGAGAATATATTGGCACAGATAAGGGAACATTACATACTAGGGCCTGCGGGTGGTGGGGGGCAAGGGGAGGAATAGCATTAGGAGAAATACCTAATGTCGATGACGGGTTGATAGGTGCAGCAAACCACCATGGCACAAGTATACCTATGTAACAAACCTGCCTATTCTGCACATGTATCCCAGAACTTAATGTATATTAAAAATA
The DNA here is from genome assembly GCF_000001405.40 of Homo sapiens. Taxonomy (NCBI): domain Eukaryota; kingdom Metazoa; phylum Chordata; class Mammalia; order Primates; family Hominidae; genus Homo; species Homo sapiens. Next base: position 193,294,789 of record NC_000002.12, on the reverse strand, counting down.
AATAAATAAGCTGCCACTATGCACTGCCTTAATTTTAAAAAAAGAGATAGTCAAATACAAAGTCATTGCTTCATTTAAAGATAAAATTTTTTCATCAGTTCAGAAATTAAACATTGTTCAAATGGAGGAACAGCTGGCTCAGATGTCAAAGAATTCTGTTTGGTGTTAGTCACAGCTGAAGTTTATATCTAGCTTTCCTTAAAGCTTTGGAAGAACATAATGAATGGTCACCTTGAAATAAAGATGACGCATTTTTTAACTAGTTAACTTTATGAAAACATTATATGCCTCCAGTACAGCAATGGTAATCTTCTCAAATGGATAAAAGTGTTGAACAACATCTGTTGTTACCTAACAACACCCCTTGGATGTGACATATAACACTGTCTGTGGCAGCACTGTAGAGAATAGAGGGAGAGAATATTTAGATTACTATTTCATACATCTCACTGTAAAACATTAAAATATGCAGCAAAACAATGTGCACAAAGACCGGATTTCAGAACACTGTCAGCAGAAGTCCTCTTTTATGACCTGAAAGTATTTGTCAATCATCCATTAAAATGAGTTTTGGTAGAAAACTAAGAAATGTTTGTACTCTCATATATGCATAAAGACTTCACAAATATTGTACTTTAAAAAATTCTAGTAGATTTGTGCTTGTTTGTGGATGGACACGCTCACCATAGATCACTTTTGCCTGATTATTCTTAGAAGCATTATACATGAACTAGTACAACGCATTTTGTAAGTGTGTATGGCTCTTCTTGCTCATAATGTTTTAAAATCCATTTGTCACTAGGTCTATCAGTAATTACTTCCTCTTAATTTTTGAGTCTTTAATTGTATGCATGTAACAGTGTGTTTATTCATTCTCCTCTTAATGGAGAGTTGCCTTGTTTACATAATTATTATAAATAAGGCTGTTATGAACATTTTTGTATGTCTTTCTGAGTTCATATGTTTTTATTTATTTCAGGTAGATTCCTAGTAGTGAAATATTTACCTAGTCAAGAAACACTCCGACAGTCCTGCAACGTGGTTATGCATTTTCTATTTTAACCAGCAATGTATGAAACTCCCTGTGGCTCCACACCTTTGTCAGAATTTTTCAATTTGCCTGTAGTCATTCTAGTGGGAAAAGAATGTATATCAATAATGTTTTAACTTGCATTTTCTCAATTCAAAGTGACATCACATATTTTCACATGCTTTTTAAATTTATTCCTACTTAAAGTTCCTTTTTAAAGTTTGTGCCAATTTTAATTGGCTTATTTATATTTTTACTATTGACTTGTGTACATTTTATGTATTCTTGATGTTAGTGAATTGCCATATATATGCTTTTTAAGTGTTTTCCCTCCTGTAGTCTGTGGCTTTTCTTCTGATTTTCTATTTAGATGAGAACAAATGTTTATTTTATATTAAGTCAAATTATCATTTTTTTCTTTTATAGTTTTCTTTTTTCGAATGCATTTCTGCTTAACCTTAGCCATAATGGTAATCTTTGTTCTTCTAGAAGTTTTATGGGTAGTGCTTATAATTAGGTCTAAAACTCATCTTAAACTGATTTTTTGAGCTGTGATATAAGAGTTTATATAAAAATAATAAAAAGTTTCTTAAAAATACCTTTGACTAATATATCCAGTTGTTCCAGAACCATTTATTGAAAAGATATATCTTCTCCTTCACATTGACTAGGTCAACATTCAATTGATTATAAATGCACACATCATTTTTGGATTATCTTTTTGTTCCCTTCTTTTTTAATCCGTATACCAATATTGACTATAGTAACAAAGCTTGTATTCTTGAAGTCAGATAGTAAAAGTCCACTGTGTTGTTTCTCTTTTACAAGGTTATTTTGGCTAATCTATATCCATTACATTTTCACATAGTTTTAGAATCAGCATACCAATTTCCACAAAAGAAGGTTAAGCTGATGAGAATAAACATAATAATAATATTCAGTATCCCAGTCTCAATAATCATGATATATATATATTATTTACCTTTTTAATTCTTTAGCTCTTTAATTTTTATCAGTAATGTTTTGTAGTTTTGGTGAAAAGATCTTAGAAATTTGTCATTATATTTAACATCAGGTAATTTATATTGCTTTATTTATATTGATTTATTGCTAGAGAATTCATTGTTTTTATATAATAACCTGCACATGGCAACTTTGCTAAATACATTTATTAATTCTGGTAGGGTTTTTTTTTTTCTCATTGAACCGTAAGGTTTTCCTTTCTTTTCTTTCTTTCTTTTTTTTTTTGAGATGGAGTTTTGCTCTTGTTGCCCAGGCTGGAGTGCAGTGGCGCCATCTTGGCTCACTGCAACCTCTGCCTCCCAGGTTCAAGCAATTCTCCTGCCTCAGCCTCCCAAGTAGCTGGGATTACAGGCATGTGCCACCACAACAGGCTAGTTTTGTATTTTTAGTAGATATGGGGTTTCTCCATATTGGCCAGGCTGGTCTCAAACTCCCAATCTCAGGTGATCCTCCCACCTCAGCCTCCCAAGGTGCTGGGATTTCAGGCGTGAGCCATAGCGCCCAGCTGATCTAAGGTTTTCTTATACATAATAATGTTTATTTTAAGTAATGGGCTTTTACATATTTTCAACCTATATATTTTAATTTTTTTTCCCTTATTGTATAGGCTAGCACTTGTGGTATAATCATACATGGAAATGGAGATAATTTACATTCCTATATTGTTTAGAATTTTTCTTTTAGGTCTGTCATGAATGTCCAATATCATATTAGGAAAGCTTCCTTGTATTATTGGGTTATGGATATATATATAGATATATACACAGATATATATATAGATAGACATAGATATAGATATAAATATATATATTTATATATATAAAATTTTCCAATCAGGAATGGACGTATATTTTTAAAACCTTTTTTTGCTGCGACTGTTGACATAATAATGATTTTTCTCTTTATTTCTCTTAATGTGGCAAATTACCACTATTGACTTTGATTTTTAAAATATTTATTCCTAGGAAAACCCTACATGAGCACCATGATATATTATCTTCTTTGTATATTGCTGTATAGAATTTGATTATACTTTATTGACAGTATTTGGTCTAAATTCAAAAGAGATATTGGCCTGTATTGTTTTTCTTTTATAGTTTAAAATGGCTAACCTTTTGGTATTGAGGTTATGCTGGCCTTACAAAACAGCGTAAGAAGTGTATCATCCTCTTCCACGTTTTGGAAGATTTATGTAATTTTGGTATTATTTTTCCTCAAGTATTTTATAGACTTTACCAATGAATCAATACGATTCTGGGTTTTTCTTTGTAATAAGTATTTTTTTTTTTACATCATCTGTTCAATATATTTAATAGCTATACAGCTATTTAGATATTTAGTTTTGTTCTTTTAGCATTAGTTTTGATAAGATTTTTAAACTTTATTTTACTGTTTTATTTAATTAGTAGTCGCTCATATTATCCCATCATTATCCTTTTATGAACTATATCAATTCTTATTTTATAGCTAGTGTTGGTAATTTATTTTTACCTTTATCTTTTTCATGATCAATCTTGCTAAAGCTTCACCAATTTTACTAATCTTTTTAAAGAACCAACTTTAGACTTTGAAATTTTCCTTCATTGTTAATTTTATGGTTCAATTATTTAGTCCTTTTTTTAAAATTTTATTTCCTCTACTTATTTTGGGTTTATTTTTTTTTTCTTAAGTTAAAAGCTTCTATCATTGATTTTAGATCTTTTATTTTTGTATAGTATAAACTGTTAATTTCACTCAAATTACTGCTTTGTTGAATTTTGCAGGTTTTTGTAGGATGTGGTTTGATTATTATGGAATTAATAATATCCTATAATCCCTCTTGTGATTTATTCTTTGACATATAGGATATTCATAGTTATTTTGCTTAATTTCTTACTGTTTAAAAAATTTTGTATATTTATTGATGTCTTAATTATGATCAGAGAATATGCTGTTTTATTTCAGTCCTTAATATATATTGAAAAGAAAAGGGGGATTATGGCAGATGGGAGGCAGGACTAGATTGCAGCTCTGGACAGAGCAGAATGTGGAGGCTTGCATTGTGAATTTTAGCTCAGATCAACTGCAAGAGCAAACCAGCAACCCTGAGAGGACCTACAGACCAACTGAAGTAAGCAGACTGCTCCTGCAGGACCCGGGAGACACCCCAAATATTGTAAGTATCCCAACTGTGGAAGTGGGAAAAGCAGATCTTCCTCTCCGGAAAGGAACACACACCCTTTCTGGAGAGGTTGAAGGTCTGTTTGTGGGAGACATTTCTGACTTTACCTGGAGCTGAGTCAAGTTAGAGAGCCAAGCGAAATACAACGGTAGAGGAAGCAGCAGAAAGGCCCTGGGAGCTCGCTCGGTCCCCAAGCAGCCTATTCCTACCTGGCACTACAGGGATCCATCGAGAGGGTGGCCAGAGGAGCAGAAGGTAAAACTCCAGAGGGAGAAGGAATTCTCTAGCTGAACTTTGTAACAACTTGAATGGGGCAAGAACCCTCCTGGCCAGAACTGAGAGCTGGGCAGACTTCAAGGCGGGGGAAGAACTAAAGCCCTTTTATTTAGCAGCTGGGAGGTGGATAGCCCTAGGCAAGTTTTCAAGCCAGTCTTGCCCTCAGCCTGGAAATGGACTCTGGGCTCTTGGGGAGGCATGGTGGGAATGAGACCATCACTTCAGGCACGGTGGGAATGAGACCATCCCTTCAGTTTGTGTGGGAGCTGGGTGTGGTCTGTGACTGCCGGCTTTCCCCCACTTGCCTGAAAATCTTCATGACTCAGCAGAGGCAGCCATAATCCTCCCAAGTACACAACTCCAGTGACCTGGGACTCTCACCACCATCCCCCACAGCAGCCCCAGCAAGACCTGCCCAAGGAGATTCTGAGCTCAGACATGCCTAGCCCCGCCCCCACCTAACGGTCCATCCCTACCCACCCTGGTAGCAGAAGACAAAGGGTATATAGGAATAAGGGAAGAGTACTACATCAAGGGAACACACCGTGGGACAAAAGGGTCTGAACAACAGCCTTCAGACCTAGACCTTCCCTCTGACAGAGACTACCCAAATGAGAAGGAACCAGAAAACCAACCCTGTTAATATGACAAAACAAGGCTTTTCAACAACCCCCCAAAATCACACTAGTTTATCAGCAATGGATCCAAACCAAGAAGAAATCCCTGATTTACCTGAAAAAGAATTCACGAGGTTAGTTATTAAGCTAATGAGGGAGGGGCCAGAGAAAGGTGAAATCCAATGCAAGAAAATTCAAGAAATGATACAAGAAGTGAAGGGAGAAATATTCAAGGAAATAGATAGCTTAAGGAAAAAACAACAAAAAATTCAGAAAACTTTGGACACACTTTTAGCAATGCGAAATGCTCTGGAAAGTCTCAGCAACAGAATTGAACAAGTAGAAAAAAGAAATTCAGAGCCCGAAGGCAAAGTCTTCAAATTAACCCAATCCAACAAAGACAAAGAAGAAAGAATAAGAAAATATGAACAAATCCTCCAAGAAGTCTGGGATTATGTTAAACAGCCAAACTTAAAAATAATTGGTGTACCTGAGGAAGAAGAGAATTCCAAAAGCCTGGAAAATATATTTGGGGGAGTAATCAAGGAAAATTTCCCAGGCCTTGTGAAAGACCTAGACATCCAAGAAGCACAAAAATACCTGGGAATTCTTTGCAAAAAGGTCTTCTCCTAGGCACATTGTCATCAGGTTATCCAAAGTTAAGATGAAGGAAAGAATCTTAAGAGCTGTGAGACAGAAGCACCAGGTAACCTATAAAGGAAAACCTATCAGATTAACAGCAGATTTCTCAGCACAAACCCTACAAACTAGAAGGGACTGGGGACCTATCTTCAGCCTCCTCAAATAAAATACTTATCAGCTAATAATTTTGTATCCAGGAAAACTAAGCATCAAATATGATGAAACGATACAGTCATTTTCAGACAAGCAAAGGCTGAGAGAATTCACGATTACCAAGCCACCACTATAAGAACTGCTAAAAGGAGCTCTAAATCTTGAAATGAATCCTGGAAACATATGAAAACAGAACTTCTTTAAAGCATATATCACACAGGACCTATAAAACAAAAATACAAGTTAAAAAACAAAAATGAAAAACAAAACAAAACAAAACACAAAATACACAGGCAACGAAGAGTAAGATGAAAGCAACAGTACCTCACATTTCAATACTAACGTTGAGTGTAAATGGCCTAAATGCTCCATTTAAATGATAGAGAACTGCAGAATGGATAAGAACTCAATAACCAACTATCTGCTGCCTTCAAGAAACTCACCTAACACGTAAGGACACACATAAACTTAAAGTAAAGGGGTGGAAAAAGACTCTTCATGCAAATGGACACCAAAAGTGAGCAGGGGTAGCTATTCTTATATAAGGCAAAACAAACTTTAAAGCAACATCAGTTAAAAGAGACAAAGAGAGACATTATATAATGGTAAAAGGCCTTATCCAACAGGAAAATATCACAGTCCTAAGCATATATGCATCTAACACTGCCGCTCCCAAATTTATAAAACAATTACTAATAAATCTAAGAAATGAGATGGACAGCAACATAATAATAGTGGGGGACTTCAATACTCCACTGACAGCACTAGACAGGTCATCAAGAAATTCAACAAAGAAACAATGGATTTAAACTATTCCTTGGGACAAATGGACTTAACAATACATACAGAACATTTAATCCAACAACCACAGAATACACATTCTATTCAACGGTGAATGAAACTTTCTCAAAGATAGACCATATGATAGGCCATAAAACAAGCCTCAATAAATTTAAGAAAATTGAAATTATATCAAGCACTCTCTCAGACCACAGTGGAATAAAACTGGAAATAAACTCCAGAGGGAACCTTCAAAACCATGGAAATGCATGGAAATTAAATAACCTGCTCCTGAATGAGCATTGGGTCAAAAACAAAATGAAGATGGAATTAAAAAAATTATTTGAACTGAATGACAGTAAGGACAATAATGACCTCTGGGATACAGCAAAGGCAGTGCTAACAGGAAAGTTCATAGACTTAAATTCCTACATCAAAAAGTCTGAAAGATTGCAAATAGACAATCTAAGATCACACCTCAAAGAACTAGAGAAACAAAAACAAACCAAACCCAAACCCAGCAGAAGAAAGGAAGTAACCACGATCAAGCAGAACTAAATGAAATTGAAACAACAACAAAAACAATACAAAAGATAAATGAAACAAAAAGCTAGTTCTTTGAAAAGATAAATAAAATTGATAGACCATTAGCAAGATTAACCAAGAAAAGAAGTGTGAAAATCCAAATCACCTCACTAAGAAATGAAACAGGAGATATTACAACTGACACCGTTGAAATACAAAAGATCACTCAAGGCTACTATGAACACCTTTACACACATAAACTAGAAAACCTAGAAGAGATAGATAAATTTCTGGAAAAATACAATCCTCCCAGCTTAAATCAGGAAGAATTAGATACCCTGAACAGACCAATAACAAGCACTGAGATTGAAATGGTAATTTAAAAATTACCAGCACAAAAAAGTCCAGGACTAGATGGATTCACAGCAGAATTCTACCTGACATTCAAAGAAGAATTGGCATCAATCCTTTTGACACTATTGCACAAGTTAGAGAAAGAAGGAACACTCCCTAATTCATTCTATGAAGCCAGCATCACCCTAATACCAAAACCAAGAAAGGACATAACCAAAAAAAACCACTACAGACCAATATCCTTGATGAACACAGATGCTAAAATCCTTAACAAAATACTAGCTAACTGAATCAAGCAACATATCAAAAAGATAATCCACCATGATCAAGTGTGGTTCATACCAGGAGTGCAGGGATGGTTTAACATATGCAGCTCAATAACTGTGATATACCACGTAAACAGAATTTAAAACAAAAATCACATGATCATGTCAATATATGCAGAAAAAGCACTAGACAAAATCCAGCAACACTTTATGATTAAAATTTTCAACAAAATCGGCATACAAGGGACATACCTTAATGTAATAAAAGCCATATATGACAAACCCACAGCCAAAATAATACTGAATGAGGAAAAGTTGAAAGCATTCCCTCTGAGAGCTGGAACAAGACAAGGATGCCCACTTTCACCACTCTTCTTCAACATAATACTGGAAGTCCTAGCCAGGGCAATCAGGCAAGAGAAAGAAAGAAAGGGCATCCAAGTCAGTAAAGAGGAAGTCAAACTGTCACTGTTTGCTGATGATATGATCATTTACCTTGAAAACCGTAAGGACTCCTGCAGAAAGCTCCTAGAACTGATAAAAGAATTTGGCAGTTTCCTGATACAATGTACATAAATCAGTAGCTCTTCTATACACCAACAGCGACCAAGCAGATAATAAAATCAAGAACTCAACCCGTTTTACAATAGCTGACAAAAAAAAAATACTTAGGAATATACCTATCAAAGGAGTCAAAAGAACTCTACAAGGAAAACTACAAAACATTGCTGAAAGAAATCACAGACAACGTATACAAATGGGAACACATCCCATGCTCATGGATGGGTAGAATCAATTTTGTGAAAATAATCATACTGCCAAAAGTAATCTACAAATTTAGTGCAATCCCCATCAGAATACCACCATCATTCCTCACAGAATTAGAAAAAACAATTCTAAAATTCATATGGAATCAAAAAAGAGCCCACATAGCCAAAGCAAGACTAAGCAAAAAGAGAAAATCTGGAAGCATCACACTACCTGATTTCAAACTATACTATAAGGCCATAGTCACCAAAACAGCATGGTACTGGTATGAAAATAGGCACATAGACCAATGGAACAGAATAGAGAACCCAGAAATAAACCCGAATACTTACAGACAACTGATCTTCAACAAAGCAAAGAAAAATATAAAGTGGGGAAAGACACCCTTTTAAACAAATGGTGCTACGATAATTGGCTAGCCACATGTAGGAGAATGAAACTGGATCCTCATCTTTCACCTTATACAAAAATCAACTCCAGATGAATTAAGGACTTAAACCTAAGACCTAAAACTGTAAAAGTTCTAGAAGATAACTTTGGAAAAATACTTTTAGACATTGGCATATTCAAGGATTTCATGACCAATGACCCATAAGCAAATTCAATAAAAATAAACAGCTGGGACCTAATTAAACTAAAGAGCTTTTGCACTGCAAAAGGAACAGTCAGCAGAGTAAACAGACAACCCACAGAGTGGAAGAAAATCTTCACAATCTATACTTTTGACAGAGGACTAATATCCAGAATCTATAACGAACTGAAACAAGTCAGTAAGAAAAAATAATCCCATCAAAAACTGGGCTAAGGACATGAATAGACAGTTCTCAAAAGAAGATATACAAATGGTCGACAAACATATGAAAAGATGCTCAACATCACTAATGATCAGGGAAATGCAAATCAAAACCACAATGGGGTACCACCTTACTCCTGCAAGAATGGTCATAATAAAAAAATCAAAAAACAGTAGATGTGGTGGTGGATGTGGCTAACAGGGAACAGTTCTACACTGCTGGTGGGAATGCAAACTAGTACAGCCACTATGGAAAAAAGCGTGGAGATTTCTTAAAGAACTAAAAGTAGATCTACCATTTGATCTAGCAGTCCCACTACTCAGTATCCATCCAGAGGAAAAGAAGTCAGTATTAGAAAAAGATACTTGAACATGCATGTTTACAGCAACATGATTCACAATTGCAAAATTGTGGAACCAACCCAAATGCCCATCAATCATCGAGTGGATAAACTGTGGTGTGTCTGTGTGTATATATATACATATATAACGGCTGCATAGTATTCCATCATACATATATATGTATACATATATGTATATATATGTGTGTGTGTGTATATATATATATGTATATGTATGATGGGATACTATGCAGCCATTAAAAGGAATGAATTAACAGCATTTGCTGTGACCTGGATGAGACTGGAGACTATTATTTTAAGTGAAGTAACTCAAGAATGGAAAACCAAACATCATATGTTCTCACTGATATGTGGAGCTAAGCTATGAGGACGCAAAGGCGTAAGAATAATACAATGGACTTTGGGGAAGGATGGAAGTGGGGCAAGAGATAAAAAGAGATAAAAGACTACAAATATGGTGCAGTGTATACTGCTGGGGTGATGAGTGCATCAAAATCTCACAAATCACCACTAAAGAACTTACTCATGTACTCATGTACCCAAATACCACCTGTACCCCAATAACTTATGGAAAAATATAATAAAATAAAAAATAAAAAAGTTATCATGGTACTAGGTAGTTCAGTAGTGGAAAAAAAATGTTTACAGAGCCATAGTAACAAAAATATTGACTACAAATTTAATTTTAAAAAATGTATATATATAGAGAGAGAGGGAGAGACCAGATTCATTATTTAGTATATATGTAATGTTCCATATATTTCAAATAAATATGTATTGTTACTAGATAGAGTGTTCTATAAATGTTAATAAGGTCAAGTAGATTAGTTGTCAGTTTTTATCTAATTGTTTTAAAAATTACTGAGAAACAGATATTAAAGTCCTCAATTATGATCATGAGTTTGTCTCTCTTCAATTCTCTGTGTTTTCTTCATACATTATAAAATTCTTCTTTTAAGAGTATGCACATGTAAGATTGCTATGCTATCTGATTAATAGTTTATTTTGTCAATACATTTTTCTTTGTTTTCCTAGATGTCTTAAAGTCTACTTTCTGTCGTTAATATCCTCATAGCATATTTCTTATTGATATGAGTAGATCTAAGTCTCTCTCTCGCTCTCTAAAAAAAGTACATATGTGTATATATGTGTGTGTATATATTTACACACACATATACTTTTTTTGCTTATATACATTTTTTTTTTGAGTGAAAGTGACGGTCAATGGCAACTTTTTATATTCTAAGTGGAGAGAGAATTCAACTTTTACTTTGCTATACAAAATATAACAATATACAATTTTCTTGAGAGAATAAAAATCTATGAGTTATGGCCACCCTTCATAAGAAAACTAATCTCATTTATTCTAAGAAGCCTATGTCTACACGGAACCCTCCTCTGTGATTTCATAAGGACGTACCATTCCAAAGAAGAAGTTTCTGGGTTTTAAAAGTGATTTACTATCTTGGCCATACTGTATTATGGCTGGTATCTTGTGGAGAGTGGGGAAGCAGTAGAAAAAGTCCTTTTATATTTAGTCTCCTAGAGGCTTCTATTCTGATCATTCACATTGCTACGTTAGGCACCACTACCTTTGATAAAGAAACAGCAGAGGAAAATGCTATGAATAAACACACACACTCGAAGATACCATTTTTTAAAAGTTCTACAAAAAGCCTATTTTGCTAACAGAATCTCTTTACTTTGGTGTCACACTTGAGCTTATCTAGTGTTTTCCAGATGCACTTTCTTCACCTCAAAAAGCCATATTTAAACAACAACGACAAAAAAGTACATTAAGAAAAATTCTTCATACTCTCTGCCAAAATCACATGTACTTTACTGAAACAGATGATATCATCTTTGATATCCAGTGAAATATACATTGTAAAAAAATTAAGATAATGGCAAAGTTACCATATGTTTGTTTTTCACAAGTTGTCAACAGGAAACTTGCTCTTGGGGTGTTGGTTATTTGTCAGCAATTATTAATAGGTATGGACACCGACAAAGTCCCCACTGGGGTTTAGCCCTCAAAATAGCTGAGAACTAAAAACCCATCAGTAAGCAGCTGCTGCTATCATGAAGTGCACACTGCAGTTAAAATTTACATGGAAGTGTTCATATTAAATATAAATTTTTAAATTACCCAATGGTGATAAAATTGCTTTTTATTTAAATTTATTTTTAATTTGCAAGCATATTAATTAGAACAGATGCAGTTTTGTAAAAACATCTTAAAAATCTTAAATTTAAATTAAATCATTATTTGTATTAAGGTTTCACAAAAACATACCTTAAAATTTAAATAACTCTAGAAAAAGCATGATACAAATAAGCAATGTTCAATTTCAATCACTTCACCAATTGTCTTTGGGTCAGTTGGTGACTTCGTTGTTCTTGGCTAGGCCCACTTATGTGTCTGGGGATTAACTAGCCTATTTGCTTATCAAGGCTGTGCACACCTGGGATGACTAGAGCAACTCAGATACACTTCACATTTCTTACCCTCCAGTAGACTAGTCTGGGTATGCCCTTGTGGTATTAATAGAAGAATGAGAGAGGAGAAAAACCCAATCATACGGGCACATTTCAAACTCCTATTTGCATGATATTGGCTAACATTCAATTGATCAAAGCAAATCACATGACCAAACCCAGAGTCAAGCAATGGGCAAATCCAAGTGAAGTGGCAAAGAGCATGGAAACAGGGAGGTGTAAAACATAGGTGGATGGTGCAGTGGCTCATCCTGTAATACAAGCACTTTGGGAGGCTGAGGCAGGAAGACGGCTTGAGCCCAGGAGTTTGAGGCCAACCTGGGGAACAGTGAGAACTGGTGGCTACCAAAAATATTTTAGAAATTAGGTGGGTGTGCCCAGCATGGTGGCTCATGCCTGTAATCTCAGCACTTTGGGAGGCTGAGGTGGGTGGATCATTTGAGGTCAGGAGTTCAAGACCAGCCTGGCCAACATGGTGAAACCCCATCTCTACTAAAAATACAAAAAGTTAGCTGGGGGTGGTGGTGGGCACCTGTAATCCCAGCTGCTCGGGAGGCTGAGGCAGGAGAATTGCTTGAACCCAGGAGATGGAGGTTGCAGTGAGCCAAGATCATGCCACTGCACTTCAGCCTGGGTGACAGAGTGAGACTCCATCTCAAAATAAATAAATAAATGAACAAATAGCTGGGTGTGTGGTGTGCACCTATAGTGCTAGACACTAAAGAGGCTTAGGTGAGAGGATTGCTAGGGCCCAGGAGTTCAAGGCTGCAGTGGATTATCACTGTGCCACTGCACTCCAGCCTATGCAAGAAAGACCCTGTCTCAGAAAGATTTTTTTTGAAAGGGGGGTGGGGGAAACACATAAGGGTCATTGACACAATATTCTCATCATTTACAGGCCTTAAACTTAAATTTTTATCTCTTTCACATTTATCATATTTTTGAATATATCTAAAATCATATGAGAAAATTTATGGTTAATTCAAGATTATTAGGATAAATAATATTTTTTGTTTCTATGTCTATTGGCATATCTGCACAACCCATATAAAGGTGATTTTAAAAATTACCTGTGTAAAGGGAAGATTTTGCCGTTGGAAAGCACATAGAATTCATTAGCATTGAAAGCAAATTTGAATGGTCTGTCTGGAGTTCTTGGTATCCTATGCTCTCCACATATGTAAGAAAGAATGACTTTTGTCTTTAACATATCAGTTGTTTAGATGAGTATAAAAATAATAGTCACTAATCCAGATGTTTCATAATATCAAATTAATTCAAGAAAAATAAGTTTATATAAATTAATAATATCCATCGAGCTCTTCCCACTTCTCCAATAAAGTCAGAAAATTTAGAACACTAAAAACAGTGAGAAAAGAATGCACAGTGGATCAGTAGAAAAGAACATAAAGGCATAGAAAGAGGTGAAATCACATAAGGATGATGGAGAGGAAATTTATATATAAGAGTTAACATTGTGCATGTTATTCCAAATAGTAAGAGTTAAATACTGATTAAAATATTATTATTTTCACAGAAGAGTTGAGGAAGGTAGCATTCATTTAGTTTTTCTACCTACAGTTATAACCAAAGGAAAAAGCTTGTGTTGAAATGTCTAGCTGTGGAGATGTTTGTCATTGCAGACACTTTTATTTGTAATTCATGCAATGTAAATAAAGCAAAGTAGAGAAAATATTGTGGTAAAAGAAAAAGCTGTATATTTTTTCTTTTTAAAATAAACAACAAATTTGGCAAATATAGAATTTCTAAACCATGATTTGTAGAAAAGTGAGATTATACATATTATATATATATATACCTGAATAAGTACATATAAGAATATGTACTTGAATAAGATGGAATGAAAATTTTTATACATGTGTAGATTTGTAGACAAAAGATGATGTCTGACAATGCTACATGATATGAAGAAGTAAGCAGAGTACATATCTTAGCAAATTTTGATGCATAAAATCAAGATTCTTGACAAATAACAAAAATTCATATCAAAGCACATTTTCTCAAAAAAAGTTTTACATAATGAAAATATGTAACACTATACATTGGTTTGTTCTTTTTAAACATGGGTTTAGTGTGAAATGTAACACATAAAGATAATTATTTACAATTAATTAAAATATAAACCTCAATGAATTATCAAAATGTGAACTCATGTAATTTATAGAAAAATCAGGAAATAGAACAACTTAAACCAACCAGAATCCTATCTCATGCTATATCTTAATGATTACCTCCTTCCTCCTGGGGTTTTTAGGATGCTTCTAATGTTTTGCATCTTAAACTAAAGAAAATTCTATAGGATTGTTAATTTTGTATAAATTGATCAAGTTATACACTTATAATTTGTGTACATATTTTATATTTCAATTTTAAAAATGTAATAATGCTTTGTTATCATAAAGTCCTTTAACTCTCCTTAAATGTTAGTTTATTAGGACATATCTGACACACTATAAGCCCCCAGTATAGGTAAATTTTAACCACGAGTTCTCTGAGCAGCAAAATAACAACAATAGCAACAACATCAAACTAACAAACGATATAAAACAAGTTTTAAAATGAGAGTTTGGGGGTTAGAAGTTTGTTTTCTGCTCTCCATCTTTATTGGGATGGAATTTGTTCACATATGTGAGCAAATCAATATTCAAAATTGAGAGGCTATAACAAAATAAAGGGGAAATAACTGGATCAATTTGAAAAGGCCTGAGTTTGCATAATAATTATTTATTTGAAATCTGTGAAACATGTCTCTCAGCACAAGAACTAAATCTTACACTTGGGTGTATGGACAGCACAAAGTACATCACTTTCATTTATTTTATGCCAAATAAATCATTGTTGGAAGGAAGGAAGGAAGGAAGGAAGGAAGGAAGAAGAGCTATTAAGGTACGGTGGAAATACATGAATCTTAGATGTAGATAGGGCTGAATTGGACCCTAGTTAAGCTATGCCCATATTTTCTGCATCTACAGAAACTTTTTCATCTTTTTACGTTTTGGGCTTGCAATATTCAGATTCAAAGTAACATCATGTGAGCTGGAAAAATTAAGTGATATATTTCATGCAAAATTTGTATTTTAATAATGCATCCAAATGTGTCCAAGGAAAGATAAATGTTAACTTCCCTGTCTCTGAAAATTTTATACTGTGAAAGTGTCTGTTTTATTGACTTAATGGTTTATTTTGTAAGGATTAATTGAAATGATATATGTGCATGCCCCTTATAAACCTAAGAGTACTAGGGATATTATGAGGTGTACATTTTAAATAACATTTATGTTATTCACCAGACACCAGCTTTCCTAGGCTGAGCCAAAATAGAAAAACAGGCCATAAAAAGAGAGCCCAGCAAATCAATCTGTAATGATCACTAAAGCATCACTGGGGTAGATCCACAGTGCCAGTTATTTTTGGTCTCTATAGCGAACTGTCCCTTCAGAAAACTAGCAAATCCTATTTTTTCTGACAAGACTGGTTAAATTAATTTTCCTCAAATCGAAGTTTAATAGAGCAATGGTAAAGTGTGCCCCTAAATAAGTAAAATTAAAATAACCCCAAATCCAAAAACCTTTCATCTGTTTTCACAAAGTGAAAGGATGGAAAATGATTACCCTATATAGAGATCATATTTAGGGCTGTTTTCTAATACATTATATTACTAAGACACATCATTAAACACAAGTAGAACTAAACTTTGTAGGCTTCAAATATAATTAATAGCCTTATAACCTTCTCTTGGAATTTCTCAGCTCAAGCATCTATAAATTGGGTTTTCCTGAATGAGTGCATTTTTTGCTTGAATCTTTAGTACTTCTGATGTAATCTGAATAATACACATGATCCCAAACCTTCTATACTCAATTTTAAAAATGTGTAAATGCAGTACATACCAATTCTTTTTTTTTTTTTTTTTTTTGAGACACAATCTCACTCTGTCTCCCAGGCTGGAGTGCAATGGTGCGATCTCGGCTCACCGCAACCTAGCCTCCCAGGTTCAAGTGATTCTCCTGCCTCAGCATCCTGAGTACCTGGGATTACAGGTGCCTGTCACCACATCTGGCTAATTTTTGTATTTTTAGTGGAGATGGGGTTTCACCATGTTGATAACACCGGTCTCAAACTCCTGATCTCAGGTGATCTGCCTGCCTCCACCTCCCAAAGTGCTGGGATTACAGGCTTCAGCCACCGTGCCTGGCCATTACAGACCAATTCTTAGAAACTTATTTTCAACTTGTTGAATGTATTTGTAAAGATGAGAGAAAAATATTAAAATGTTAAATAAGGTTTCTATTTTACACTATCAATAAAATGTACATATTTTTAATGATTTTCTTAAACATATTTTTTCCCTCATTTTTTTTTCTGTCAGGTATAATTGCACCCACCCACCAATTTTAAATACAGGATAATGTCAAAATCGTCGGGAAATTAATAGAAATTTTAAATCCACAAACACGTGATATGGAACAGATATTCAAAAAAATCCCATTAAGTTAAACATTATCCCTATTTCAGGAACCCATCTGCAATATTTTAATTAGAATGCTTCTTTCCTGAAAATGCACATTCATTCTGTATGCTATTAAAATCATCCATAACTAAAAGTAAATAATGCTGTTTTAAAATATTGCAATGCATTTTCATGACTTGCTTTGCTTACGAACACAGGAATTTGTTCATAAATTATCTTTAAGAAATATGTAAATCTCCATACTTTATGAATGAGAAGACCAAATCAAAATAATGTGGCAGTCTGGGTTCATTTGGGAGATAAACATCACACAGTAGATTAGCAGGGATGTTTGATACAAAGCACTATTAAGTATGGTTAAAAAAAAAAAAAGAAAAGAAAGAAAAATGGAGTACGAATCCGTCAGGTCAGAACCATGGCAGTGACCAAGGAGCAAGATCTTACAGATGGACCTGTACGCGCTGCTAGACATTGAGGAGAAGGTGGCAGACAAAGAGGTGGAGAAGGCATATAGGCAGAAGGCCTCCTCCTGCTACCCTGAACTCTTCCACTGGCAGCTGAACTCTTCCACCAGCATTCTCAGGCCTTGGAGGTGCTGACCGATGCTGCAGCCGGGGCTGCGTATGACAAGGTCAGGAAAGCCAAGAAGCAGGCAGCAGAGAGGACTCAGAAACTAGATGAAAAAAGGAATAAAGTGAAGCTTGATCTGGAGGCCCGGAAGCGGGAGCGGCAGCACCAGGCGGAGGGGGAGGGAGAGGGGGAGGAGGAGGAGGAAGGGGAGGGGGGAGGAGGAGGAGGAAGAGGAGGAGGAGCTGGAGGAGAGCCTGAGCACCAGGACACTAGAGCGAGAGATCAAACGCCTGAGTGAAGAGGGTTCCCGGCAGCTGGAGGAAGAGCAGAGGCTGATCTGGGAGCAGATACACCAGGAGCGTGACCAGAGGTTGAGAGGAAAGACAAAATACTAAAGGCCAAGGAACCCCCAAACTAAAGCTAAAATGGAAGCGCAAGAAGGCTCGGGGGGAGTCAAAAGGTGGCTACTCCAAAGACGTCCTCCTATGGCTTTTGCAAAAGTATGGTGAGGTTCTCAACCTGGTGCTTTCCAGTAAGAAGGTAGGCACTGCTGTGGTGGAGTTTGCGACTGCCAAGGCTGCGGAGCTGGCTGTCCAGAATGAAGTTGGCCTGGTGGATAACCCTCTGAAGATTTCCTGGTTGGAGGGACAGCCCCAGAGCACCGTGGGCCCCAGCCGCCCAGCACTGTCAAAGGGCTCAGTGCTGTCGGTGAGGGAATACGAGAGCGTCATCGTGATGCACATGCGCCATGCGGCCGAGCTGCAATGGCTGATCTCAGACATGCACCAGCAAGACCGAGAGGGGCAGCCCACGTAACCCTGGCTCCAGCCACCCGCCGGCAGCCTTTTTCTTTAACGTCACCAATAAACTTTTGTTTGTCTGTTTTTAAGAAAAAAAGAAGGAATGATAAGATGTAAGGAAACTCTGTATGGTATCTTAGGGCTGATGCAGAGTACTCAAGGACAAACTTGGAAGGTGTTCAGACTTTATTGGAGAAAATGTGGGTCAGTTCACTGGATACCAGGAAAGTTCTCAATTTTGGTCAGACCACAGCTGATCCGAGTTCCTTGGCAAGTGAAAGGCCACCTGCAGGGTGTAGGGGATCAACAACTCTAAGCAAGTGTATCCAAGGGATTCCCGGCAATTGGTGGGGCCGGAGATCTTTAGAGCGGACAGTCTGTGGGAGCTCCGGTTTCCAGAGAGTGCTGTGCAAAGATAATCACCAGACAGAGGCTGCAATGTCACAGAGGGACAAAGGCTGGGCAGGTGACTGGGGCAGGCTCTACTAGCTATCCTCACCCCAGTCCTGCTGACACCCGGCTCACACAGGAAGTCTCTTTCTACTGCACTATTCCTCAAGCACCCTCTACTGCTCTTATCAAAGGAAAAATTATTTAAAATATTCTGTTTTAGAGCATACGTTGAAATGTGAATTCAGAGCCGAGAAATAATAAACTGACAACTGACACAAATGATTATTAGGGATACTTTAAGTTATCTTTAGTCATCTGAGGAGAAAACTAAGTCATCAATGAACTGCATGGAAGTAAAAAAGTCAAGCAATAAAAGCATAACTGAATAAACCGAGACTGCAACATCATTTTGATTTGGTCTTCTCATTCATAAAGTATGGACACTTACATAAACCTTACAGATAACTTATGATCAAATTCCTGTCTTCACAAGCAAGTGGCTTAGTTCTAAATGCAGACATATAATTCCAAGTATAATTTAAATACTAGAAATTCCTCACAAAATTGCTATACTAGGTTTTCACTTATGGGTAGAAATACTAACTGAGATTGCATCTTTCTTTAGGATTTATAAGTTCAGCCAACAAGCCTAAGCAGATTATATTCACATACTGATAAATTTAATTATGGCAGATGAGTGGTTCTTAAATTTATTTTGTTATTTGTCCTTTGTTTTGCTATGTCTTGTGCTTCCTTAACTACTCTTAGTTCAAAATTCATATTCGTGATTTCAAATTCAGGCTTCTCAGAGTTGACATTTATTGGGCTTCACCTGAGCTATCTGAACATATTCAGTAAAATCATTATGTTCCCAATAAATATGTAATAAAAGAATTTGTCTAGTCTTTCTTACTGTCTGTTACTGAAGTAGTGGTAGAGGGTGTGGAGGGAGAGCTGGGTAATTCCATTACATTTTCATTCTCCCAGAACCCAATAACTGACATGAGTTGCCTGCTATCCTGGCCCAGCCAGGGTTCCCTTCACTACCTGCAAAGCAGTCTCACCTTAGACAGATTTGGACCACATAGAAAAAAAATAATAAAATTAAACAAGAAATAGGCAGGGACATATAAACAAGTAAGATATGATGTTTCTTTAGCTCAGAGAAATATATAGAGCAATCAATAGAAATAATCTAGGAGAAGAACATAAACTCATTACACTAAGCACTGATGAGAATCAGAAACGAGCTTCATTCATTGGAAAGCTTCCAGACTCGAGTTTCTAGGTGATGACTTAGTCAAATCACCAATCAGATGTTCTTATGAAACTAGCAATATTTTGAACTGTGCTTGCTTGGGATGAATGAAAGAAAAATTGAGAAGTATCCCCTTATTTATTTGGAGAAATGTAGACTTCGTTTGTAAAAATCAGCAATAAAATTTCCTAATGTTTAATAAGTACTCAGAATATTATGTCATCGATCACATTATATAACAAAAGTAGGTAGTGTTTTTATTCATACAAATGGGTTACTTTTTAATGCAGTCATTTGGAAATAGATCCACTTACTATAATAAACTTTTTTTTTACAGCTTTAAAGCATTTTCTCTTTATTTACTATTTACTTATTCATCAATTTTACTTATTTAGTTCTTTCTTCTTATGTATTTTTGTTTCACATTTCTTTACCCTTTATTTTTTATTTATTTATTTATTTATTTTGAGACAGAGTCTCGCTGTGTCTCCCAGGCTGGAGTGCAGTGGCGCAATCTCGGCTCACTGCAAGCTCTGCCTCCCAGGTTCACACCATTCTCCTGCCTCAACCTCCCTAGTAGCTAGGACTACAGGCACCCACCGCCACACCCAGCTAATTTTTTGTATTTTTAGTAGAGACGAGGTTTCACCGTGTTAGCCAGGATGGTCTCGATCTCCTGACCTTGTGATCCACTGACCTCGGCCTCCCAACCCTTTATTTTTTATTGTTTTAAATTTTGGTAAATATATACCAAGAAATAATATATGGCAGTTAGAATTCCCATTATTGGATGTGAAGTGCACACACAAAAAATTGGAGAATATTTTGATAAGTATAATGTCATATATGTTTAAGAAAGTTTAGAAGATACAGATTATGTGTGTACATTGAAAAATTCAGACACACCAAATTTGATAAAAGTAGGTGATGAGGGCTCCCTACTCATACTAACACCAGAGTAATGGACCATTCCTTAGTGCTGTCTATTAACTCTGTCCGCACCTTGCAACTAGTTTCTTTGTTAAACTTCCCTAAAATCATTCAAGTTGAATATGCCATCCGTTTTGTGTCAATGCTCTAAAGTTTTAGAATGACTTCATTTCAATATTAAACCAAAATCATTCCCATGAAATAACGATAGTTTACTTGATTGCAATACAGCAAAATATGATCATCGAGCTATCAGATTACGGCTTTGTGTTATGCTAACAGAGAAAGATTCCATGAGTAATTTTGAAAGCCTTAAGCACATTTTCATTTAGATATAAAGACAAAAATATGTCAAGAAAAAAATGATAAAAATATATATGATAATATATATTTTAAGAAATGAATTAAAAATGTTTATTTTAAAAATTAAGCAGAGGACACTTTACCATATCAGAAATAAGAATGTAAATATTAAAATAAAATAAAGTCATTACAAGACTCTGATTTTTAGCATCACTGAAAGAATCAGACCAAATCATATAGAAAACTTCCAGATGACAGGCCATTGACAGAGGGTAACTCTTTGTTTGGTGAGTGGGGAATTCTTTGCAAAGAATTTTGCATACTGTACTTAAGTTTCTCTTAAATTAGAAATAATTCATTCAGTTTTTCTTAGGTTAAAAATAATTTGTAACCCTCAACTCATACTTGTAGGAATTTTTTACATTTTTTGTCTCCTTAAGGTTTTCTATTAGTTAAGACACCAATAATGCTGTCTAACAGTACGTGTCAAGGTTCTTTACTCAGACTTAAAAAGGCCTACAAACAGATCCCATGAAACTTTTATTGTTTGATGATAAGATGAAAAGATCTTGTACTATGAAGTTTGCAATTTGGCTTATCTTGAAAGATTGTCAAGAGCTAATATAACCAATATTTTGAAGAAGTAAATACATTACAGTAAAGCAAACACTAAAACTCAGTGAAACAAAACAAACAAAAAACATGGTTTTAGAAAACAAAATAAACTTCCCAACTGGGATTTTTCTCTGTCTTTTTATTGCTGTGTTGTTGCTGTTCCAGCTTGCTGTTACTATTTTTTAAAAATAATTTCTCAAAAAAGAGAAAGAAAAATGGCATATTCAGGTTATTTGGTTAGGTTGATGAACGAACAAATGTACATGTCTCACTTCCTTCTAAAATATCATTTACATTTTAGTAAATAGGTGTCATAGTTTGGATGTTAACCCCTGTAAGTGTCATGTTGAATTGTGATTCCCAGTAATGGAGGTGAGGCCTGGTGGGAGGTGTTGGGTCATGAAGGAAGATCCTTCATGGCTTGGCCCTGTCCTCATGGCAGTGAGTAAGTTCTTGAAAGATCTAGGTATTTAAAGGTGTGTGGCATTTCCCCCATCTCTCTCTTGCTCTTGGTCTTGTCATGTGATGTGCCTGTTCCCACTTTACCTTCCACGATGAGTAAAAGCTTCCTGAGACCTCCCTAGAAGCCAAGCAGATGTCAGCATCATGCTTCCTGTACAGTCTGCAAAATCGTGAGCCAATTAAATTTCTTCTCTTTGTAAATTAACCAATCTCAGGTATTTCTTTATACTGACACACCACAAGAATTGCCTAATACAGACAGTTGGTACCAGGAGTGAGTTTTGCTATAGAGATACATTAAAATGTGGAAGCAACTTTGGAACTGGGTAATGGGCAGAGGTTGGAAGAGTTTGGAAGGCTCAGAAGAAGACATGAAGATGAGGGAAAGTTTGGAACTTCTTAGAGACTTGTTAAATGGTTATGACCAAAATGCTGATAGTGACATGGAGATAAGGAAGTCCAGGCGACAAAGTAACAGATGGAAATGAGGAACTTGCTGGGAACTGGAGTAAAGGTCTTGCATGTTATGCCTCAGCAAAAAGACTCAGCTGCATTTTGTTCATGCCTTAAGGATCTGTGGAAGTTTGAAATTGAGAGTGATGACCTAGAATATCTGGCAGAAGAAATTTCTTAGCAGCAAAGTGCTCAAGATGTGGCCTACACTCAGATGTAGGAGCAAAGAAATAACTTAAAGTTGGAAGTTATATTTAAAGAGGAAGCAGAGCATAAAAGTTTGAGCAATTTGCAGCCTGGCTATGCGGCAGAGAAATTAAAGGTATTATCAGGAGAGAAATTCAGAGGGCTGTGAAGCAATCACTTGCTAGAGATATTAGCATGACTAAAAAGGAGCTAAGTGACAATAGCCAAGACAATATGAAAAGGGCCTTAAAGGCATTTCAGAGACCTTCAAGACAGCCTCTCTCATCACAGGCCCACAGGCATAGGGGGACTTAATGTTTTCATGGATCAGGCACAGGGTATCACCATATTGTGCCATTCCAGGAGGGTATTCCTAACATTCTGGACACTCTGGTTTCAGCTTATGCTCAAAGGTCCCAAATATATCTCAAGTTGCAACTCTCAAGGATGCGAGCCATAAGCTTTGGTGGCTTCCATGTGGTGTTAACCCTGTTGCATACATAGTGCAAGACTAAAAGAGGCTTGTCAGCCTCTGTCTATATTTCAAAGAATGGATGAGAAAGCCTGGGTGCCCAGGCAGAAGCCTGCTGCAGGGGCATAGCCCTCACAGAGAACCTCTACTAGAGCAGTATGGAGGGCAAATATGGGGTTAGAGGCCCCAGACAAAGTCCCCACTGGAGCACTGCCTAGTGGATTTATGGGAAAGGTGACAACCATCCTTTATATTTCAGAATGGCAGCTTGAACCCTGAACCTGGAAAAGCTGCAAGCACTCAAATCCAACCTGTTAGAACAGCCATGGGGGCTGTACCCTGCAAAGCCACAAGGGCCGAGCTGTACTAGGCCTTCGGAGTCCACTTCTCACACCAGTCTGACCTGGATGTGAAACATTTAGTCAAAGGAAATTATTTTGGAGCTTTAAGATTTAATGGAAACCCTGCTATGTTTTGGACTTGCTTGGATCCTGTTGCTTCTTTTTCCTGTTGGATAATTCCTCCCTTTTAGAATGATATTTACCCAATTCCTATATCCTCATTGTATCTTGTAAATAAATAACTTGGTTTTGATTTTATAGACTACTAGGTGGAAGGGACTTGCCTTGTCTCAGATGAGAATCTGGACTTTGGAATTTTGAATGATGTTGAAACAAGTTAAGACTTTTAGGGGACTATTGACAGGGGATGATTGTATTTTGCAGTGCAAGAAAAACATGAAATGTGAAGGGCTGTGGTGAAGTGATATAATTTGGATATTGTCACCTCTAAATCTCATTGTAATTCCTGATGTTGAAAGAGGGGCCTGGTAGGAGGTGTTTGGATCACAGGTGAAGACCCCTCATGGCTTGGTGCTGTCATTATGATAGTGAGAGAGTTCTTGGGAGATCTGGCTATTTAAACGTATGTGGCATCTTCCTCCTTTCTCCCTTTCTCCTGCTCTCACCGTGTGATGTGCCGCTCCTGCTTTGCTTTTTGCCATGAGTAAAAGCTTCCTAAGTCCTCTATGGAAGTGGAGCACATGTTGATGCCATGCTTCCTGTACAGTCTGCAGAACTGTAAGTCAATTAAACTTTTTTTTATAAATTACCCAATCTCAGGCATTCTTCATAGCAATGTGAGAATGGCCTAATACAATAGGTATGAAAAAATAACATAGCAATTCAGAAAAAAAGGTCTTCATTATCAGTAAGTCAATGGTTTAGAGATTCTCTGAAAGATGGGAAGTGAAATACTCTGCCTTGATTGCACAGAAAGAGAATGGAGGAAGCCATAGGCCGAAAACAAATAAATGATTAAATGCAGCAGAGATGGGAGCATGTCTTCTCGAGAGACAGCAAAAAGGGCTCCAGACGTGAAGTAGCTATGTATGGAAAATGTGAGAATTAGTTATAAAAGCTAGAAGAGTTAACTGGATATATACTATTTGCCAGGCCCAATAAAGTCTTAACAGCAACCTGACTAGATAGGAGTCATTTTTATCTCCATTTTAAAAATAAAAAAAAAACAGAACACAGTGTCACATCATTACTAAGTGTGAAAACCAGAATTTTATATGCTGACTTTTTTGAGAGAGGCTGAGTTTTTATCAATTAAACTTTACCACTCCCTTTACAGCGTAGGCTAGAAATCACTGAATTCTACAAAAAAGCCAGGCCTGTCTCACACTTGTCTTGCATTGTACCTCCCTCTTCCATACTGTGAAAATGTTCCTTCCTCTATGAAAATATGCATTCATTTTCCTCTCCTCCCTCCAATATCACATTTTGATAGAATTAATCTTTGGGTGTGCAGCATAATGTCATTTTTATTTTTACATTTCTGTTAATGCATATTTTCCTATCTTATATTGCATTGTAATTGTTATAAATCTATATTAATCTTTTTATTATTAGCACAAGGTATAATACCTAAAACAGAGTAAGTACTCAATAAATTTTTATTGAAAAAATTTGAATTATGCAGACGGTATTTTGGTTGAAAAAGTTGACTAAACTGATCAGAAAAAAATACATAATTCATTCTGGCAATGCAAAAAAACACATATGGGTAAACTTTAAAATAATATAAGCTTACTCAATATAGAAACAAAAGCAACTATGATCTTAAAATAAGGAGATATATATATATATATATATATATATATATATATATATGCAGAGAGTGAAAAGTAAGGGTCATTTTCTATCATTGATGGTTTACAATAAAGAATATTTTGTTTAACATGATTTTTTTCCAATTTCTATTGACCAGCATGCAATAAATAAACCGAAGCAGAGATATGAAGTTGAGCTTAGTCTTAGTTTCTTGAATTCTTAGAAAAATATTCAGGTTGAAAGTAAAAAAATAATAATACCACTTTAATATTTTATTTTTGAAAACTCACATATAGTGTTAACTTTTCCTGCCTGCACATTATAATGTTTCTCAGAAATATGGACTTCATTTCATAAACATTTTTTCTTTTTTTTTTTTGAGATGGAGTCTCTCTTTGTTGCCCAGGCTGGAGTGCAGTGGTGTGATCTCGGCTGACTGCAAGTTCTGCTTCCCGAGTTCAAGTGATTCTCCTGCCTCAGCCTCCTGGATAGCTGGGACTACAGGTGCCTGCCACCACGCCTGGCTAATTTTTGAATTTTTAGTAGAGATAGGGTTTCACCATGTTGGCCAAGCTGGTCTCGATCTCTTGACTTCATGATCCACCCACTTTGGCCTCCCAAAGTGCTGGGATTACAGGCGTGAGCCACCTCAGTAGAGACATGAGCCACCTTAGTAGAGATGGGGTTTAGTAGAAAACCGTGAGCCAATTAAATTTCTTCTCTTTGTAAATTACCCAATCTCAGGTATTTCTTTATAGTGACACACCACAAGAATTGCCTAATGCAGAAAGTTGGTACCAGAAGTGAGTTTTGCTATAGAGATACATTAAAATGTGGAAGCAACTTTGGAACTGGGTAATGGGCCGAGGTTGGAAGAGTTTGGAAGCCTCAAAAGAAGACAGGAAGATGAGGGAAAGTTTGGAACTTCTTAGAGACTTGTTAAATGGTTATGACCAAAATGCTGATAGTGACATGGACAGTGAAGTCCAGGCTGACAAAGTAACAGATGGAAATGAGGAACTTGCTGGGAACTGGAGTAAAGTAGAAACCCCGTCTCTACTAAAAATACAAAAATTAGCCGGGCGTAGTGGTGGGTGCCTGTAATCCCAGCTACTCGGGAGGCTGAGGCAGGAGCATTGCTTGAACCTGGGGGGAAGAGGTTGCAGACAGAGCGAGACTTCATCTCAAAAAAAAAAGAAAAGAAAAAGAAAAAGAAAGAAAACTAATCAGTGTGGTGTCATTTAGAAAGCCTCCCTACAGTATTTCCCAACATTTGTTTATCTCGAGTAAATTTTTATACAAATGCCCACAAATTCTAACAAGAATTTGAATAGTTAACATTTTATTTTAATATCTCTAAAATGCTCTTCCATAATATATTGTTAAACTATTCCCACTTTCAAATTTTCTTTCAAACATGTATTTACTTATAAGACCATGTTAGCCAACTGAATTAGAGAGCATAAATATCATCTGAACTAAAGATAATAGAAATAAATTCCAGGCATTGAAAATGAATGCCTAAAGACCCCAGAATGACCACAAAGGATATAAATGGCACAATTTAATGTTTTTCATCCCTTAGAATAACTAGCTGGTAACTCATTCAAATTTTCTTTGTGTTTTTACTGTGCTTTCTATTGCATTAAAGAAATCTCCTTTCAACAGTCTTTCTTTTAAAAAGTTGCTTTATTTGGTTTAATGTCAATTAGGGCTTTTAAAAAATAGTTTCTTTTCTAGTTAATTCATTGCAGACATTCTTTATTTTCCTTAGAAAGTTTAGCCTCAGGGTTTCATGACACTGCTACTATATTATAGGATATAAATAGAACTGCAGTCTCCCTTTCCTCTCAACCTTTATAAATTCATTTCTAATGACTGAAGAGCGTGCAGCAGCACTCAAAAATATATCAGAGTTTTGCAAAGTCCTTATTTTCAGCAAGAAAAAAGAACTCCAAATTGGGCCCCATTACTTATAATTCATTTATTTTCTGGACTAGAAAGAAAAAAAATGAATAACCTCATTATAGCTCAACTTTGTCTTACACATACAAGAAATCTTTTATCATTATGATGTAGCAGTTATCTTGAGTAAAAAAATGAAATTATTCTTTTAGCAGACTGTCTTCCTCTCTACTTATTAGGTTCTGTTAAAAGTACATTTCTTACAGAAATGCCAGGGTCTGATTGGATTTTCAACACACTACATTGAACTCACTGCATATGAAATTGAGTTTTCCAAATTCTCTTTTTCCTCATCCTATTTTTTTTTGTTTTCAACTTTAGAAAGTACTTAGAATATGTTCTATTCTATTTGCATTTTAGAAGTTCTACTTTATTATAGGTTATAATAAACCAGAAGCTGGACTCAGAGAATATGATTATTAAATTATTATATTTCAAGAATTATATATCTTTATTTTTATGTGAACAAATAGGGAGATTGGCTTGAGGCCATGAGTTTGAGACAAGCCTTGGCAACATAACAAGGACCCCCAATCTCTACGACAGATTTAAAAGTTAGCCAGGCTTGGTGGAGTGCCCCTCTGGCCAGCTACTCCAGAGGCTGAGGCAAGGATCCCTTAAATCCAAGAGTTCGAGTTTACAGTGGGCTATGACTGCACCGCTGCACCCCAGCCCTGGTGACAAAGCTTTAAAAGCAAATCAACAACTAATCAAATTCTTCTTTGAAGCAAAGTACATACTCATGAAAATGTATTGTGAAGAAACTAATAAGGCTGACTTTATACTCAGCAAGTAATTAAAGGAAGTACATTGAAGACAGAAGGCCAAACTAAATGTATCCAAAGAAATTAATGTAGTTACACACTCAGATAGCAAATATGCATGGTACACCAATAGCTCAACATAACTTTACATCACTCATTAGTTTTATCTCATCTTACAAAAGGTATATTTAATTAGTTAAAATTTATTAACTACGGAGGCCATTTGAAAAATTAAAAATAAATAAAAAAATTTGGTTTTCAAGATTATGTCTTCAATCACTTCAATGATTTGCAATACATTAGCAATAAAGTCAGCATTTTATAAATCATGGTACATGATAGAGTTTTAAAACATAGACACCAATTAAAACCAAAACAAAAGTTGTGTTGTGTTGAAAGTAATAGTAATTAAATATATATTTTACTCAGTCGCAAAAATGGCAAATGGTATTTTTTTCTTACTTTGTTTTAGTTTTGGTTCTCATTTTTGACTTTTTTTATTATAGATATTTTCAGATGTACACAAAACTACAGAAAATGGTAAAATCAACCATCATGGCCTATTCTTGCTTTCTTTCTTTTCACAAGTTCATTTAAACACAAATCCAACCAGGCAGGATGGCTCACACCTGTAATCCCAGCACTTTGGGAGGTCAAAGTGGAGGGGATTACTTGAGTCCAGGAGTTCGAGACCAACCTGGGCAACATAGTGAGACCCTGTCTCTACAAATAAATGAATTAATTAATTAATTAGCTGAGCACGATGTTGTGTGCCTATAGTCCCACCTACTTGGGAGGCTAAGGTGGAAGGATCACTTAAGCCCAGGAGGTTGAAGCTGCAGTGAGCCATGATCATGCCATTGCATTCCAGCCTGGGCAGCAGAGAGGGACTTGGCCTTATAAAATACGTATAAAAATAAGTAAGTAAAAAACAAGTCCCAGACATCATATGTGGTAACATATTTGTAAAACCAACATCATAGTCAAAAAATTAAAATTCCTTAATGTTATCTAATAATGCCAGTCTGTAGTCTCAATTAAAAGTTTTAATTGTCGTACAAATGCATTCTTCATAACATTGCTTTGTTTTAATCAAGATCCAGATAATTGTCTTATCGTCATTGACATGACTTTTAAAATTATTTTTAATCCCACTGTTGTTTAAAACTGTTTTATTAAAGTACAACCAACAGTATAAGAAACTGTACACATTCAAATTATATAATTTCATGAGATTTGGCATACATCCACATCCATAAAACCATCACAATCAAGGAAATGAATATGTTCAGGTCTTTCTAATCAATTAAGATGAAATATCTTTTTTTCTATAACCATTTATCTCTCCTCCCATCCCCCATCACATACCTGTTGAGGGACACTTGTCACGTGTTTGTTAAAGACATCCAGTCTGCTGCAGTAAACACTGGCCGTCAGTGCCCATGTATTTAGACTTCACTTTAAAAAAGTAGCCAGTGTCTATTTCTTTGCCTGGGGTTTCCTTCAAAGCTTTACAAAAGGTAGTCTAATCCTGGATGACAAACTGGAATTAACATGCCTATGATCAATGTATAAACCAAGGAATGACAGCTGGTGGTGCAGAAACACCTCAGTTCCCTGGCTCCTTGGATGGAATATCTCTGAAGAATATTGTGTACCCTTTTTCCTAATGTTTCCTGTTGCGATGGGATTAGGCGTTGTTTCTCCCTAGTGGTAGTTGGTTCATATGTAGGCTTTATGGCTGTCTTGCGTCTCCTCCCACTTTATCACTCCCCATCCATGGTCCATGTACAATAGTCATTGTTTAAGGATCTGCTTCTGGGGAACACCAATTAAGACATTTGTCTTACAGATCTTCTCACTTTCAAGGTTTGGTTAATTCCTGAATTCATTTAACATTCCTCTAGTCCCCTTATAACCTTAAACTTACAGTTATGCTAGATGTTTTAGTAGTTGAGAATTGCTTTTCTTTTGGCCATAAGTACTTAATAAGTGGGGCTTATTCTTCATATTAATAAAATGTTACATTTTATTACAAATTGTATAGGTTTTATCATATACTATATGTTACACATCATGTTAATAATAACTTTTGGGGGTATAGAGGAAAAATTTACAAGGTGAAAATCTGGGAGAGTGAATTGCATTATCAGTACTATAGAAAGTGATAATATGGACTTAAATTTTCATAGATAAAGCACTAAAATAAACGTTATCTTGTACTAACATTATATCTTTAAAGAGATTTTGTAGAGTTACCCCAACTAAAATTTACACATGAACATCCAGTAATTATATTGGAGAAAGTCTTTCAAAGTGAAACCCATAACATAATGTCTTAAAATAATTTTTTAAAATAAAGAGTTTGACTTGAATGGACTCAATGAATTTTATTTAATGTTCCACAGTAATGTTCATTTTACTTATAATAAAAACACTTTAAGGTAGACCATTTGAAATAGAATATTTATAAGTGAATTAATCCCAATTACATAAACAATAATAAATAATCTACTTCTAGTCATAACATCATTAAACTGTATACAGCATAAGCACTTTCAGAAAGTAAATTATTGATGGGGCCACAAATAAATACCAAATCTAAAATATCTGTGAGAGAAAGTGAATTTTTTTTTTTCACAAGTTGTAATTTTGTCCACCAAAAATGGTTGGCTGTGTGATAAAAGGGCATTCATTTATTTATATTTTTTATTCATGGCACTCAGCAAAGGGCTAACTTGATAGCTTGGCACTTGATAGCGTGAAAGGATATAGTTTTATTAAAACAGAGCACTAATGGAATTAAGGTCTTGATTAAATCTCATTTATTTCTCTAATGTATTTATATTTTTACATACATTTGTCCTTGTATACTTATGTTGATATTATCAATGTTACACGTTCATAGTGAGAAGAGTGGAGTCATCGATTATTCATATGCACCCTGGCATGCCTGCAATTTGTCCACCACCATATATTCATAAA
Organism: Homo sapiens; assembly: GCF_000001405.40. Lineage (NCBI taxonomy): Eukaryota > Metazoa > Chordata > Mammalia > Primates > Hominidae > Homo > Homo sapiens. The sequence continues at coordinate 193,263,775 of NC_000002.12, read as the reverse complement.
CAGGCTTTCACAATGAAAATAACATTCCTCATTACCTTCAATAATATTTCCTCTTGATTTCTTGCATATTGACATTTGCTATTTAGTACTAGTTTTTTAGCCACCGCATTTAACTACTCTCAAGTTTTCCAGATATTTTTCATTGTCAAATTATTAAATTGGTGCAAAAGTTATTGTGGTTTTTGTCATTGACAGTAAGGTAAAAACCACAATAACTTTTTCACCAACCCAATATTTAAAGTTTAGTGTTCTGTGAGATACAAACAAAACCTAATTCACTTTTCTTCCTTATCAGCCCCATTTTACAGATTGTGGAGCTAAAATATAGAGAGATTAAATTTTAGACCATAAGAAACAATGGTTTGTCCATCCAACAAAATTTATTGACTGCCTAATTATGTGCTAGACATTCTTCTGGGTGCTAAAGTTAAATCAGTGAATAAGATAAAAAAGGGCTCTAGTCTTTCAGAGTTTAAATTCTAGTTAAATGGAGAAAAAGCAACAATGAATAATTAGAACAATTTTTTTTCAGATAGTAATAAATTATAAGAAGATAGTGATGGCCTTCAAATCATATTGTTCAGAGAAAAACGAATTGTTGAAGTTAATACTTCTTGTTGTAAAATAACAACATGTAATGTGCAACTATAAAAACACAGGATTGAAATGATTGCATTTAAAACCATAATTGAAACCTCAAAAAATACAGTAGGGCAGTGGCTTCATCTTTTCAGCCATATGGATGTGGTGACCATTCCAAAATTCATTATAGTAATATAGCAATTTGTTTTAATGTAAATTTACTTACCTAAATGTTGTTACATGTTATTTCAAAATATTGATTAAATTTCAAATTAGTTTTGTCATGACTTTCTGACCTATATTTCACAATATTCCAAAATTATAGATATTCCCCAAACTGATTATCTTGGCTGTTGATGCTAGTAACAGATGCTATATCTCCTTAGACTTGCTTTGCAATTTGTCATAGAAACTGATGGCCTGATAACCTGATAACTTAATAGAGTGATTGTTTTTCAGCAGTGAAACCTTTTGTTTAAGTGAAACTTTACCTACATGCCTCATATCTTAAATAGGTTGAACTGGAGCTCTTTGTTGATAAATCAGTCCACCCCTCTTATCCTCATTTTCCTCTGTCCATCCAAAGATGATTCAAAGTAATCTCGATAGAATATCCCCTGTGCATTGTAGCATGTAACTTAAAAGTATTTCCTAATCTAATGAGATGCCTTTTAGATTGTAGATGCCTATTGCAAGTCTATTTCCATAGCAGTTATAAAATTATTATTAAAAAACATTGAACTATTTAAATATTTTTCAGGTAGGAAGAAAAATTTTAGTATTTTTGAAATGAAATTATTAGAAAATAATTTAGATTGGTTTGCTCTTTAATATTTACTCATAGCAACATTGAGCAATTCTCATGTCTTAATCACTCTATGAAGCTCAGTTCATGTTTCTCAGAATATCCTGACTGCCTAAAGTTATTGTCTTTGGGCATTTTTTACAATGAACTGGAGAATCCATAAATTCCTCTTATGTTTATGCTAAAATCCATCATTTTCCTTTTATTAGAAAAGAAAAGCTTAATAACATTGCCATTTTTACTATTATGTTTATGTTTCTATAACTGAAGTAGTTATGCAGTATTAACTAAATTTTCATAAATGCTTCTGAATTACTAATTTATAAAGCACAGTGCTACTGTAAAAAAGCAATTTACTCATGATTGTATTTTGAAACAAAGTTTTCAGTTTAAAGTAACTCTACTTTGTCATAGATGGTTACAAAGTTATAGCCTTACTATAATTTTGTAAAGAATGCTTTTCTGTTCTGGTGTTTGCTTACGATAATGGCCTCTAGCACCATGTGTTCACTTTTAAGTGGGAGCTAAACAGCAACACCACATGAATACTAGGAGGGGGACAACTGTCATTGGAGCCTGCTTGAGGGTGAAGGGTGAAAAGAGGGAGAGGATCAGAAGAAAAATACCTGTTGGGTACTATATTTATTACCTGGGTGATGAAATTTTTTCTACACCAAACCTCTGTGACACACAGTTTACCTATAAGACAAACCTGCACATGTACCCTTGAACCTAAAAAAAAGAGTTAAAAAATAAATACATGAAATAGAATAAGAATTAAACTAATGACACATGCTGCTGTGCATTTTAAAAATCATTTTTGAAGCGTCTTGTATGTATGTGGAAACTTCTGTTTATAGGACCGATGGTTGTTTTAAAATTCCTCCACCTCTAGAGTAAAGTGTGAATCCCACTAGGCACCTTTAAAAAATGGGCATTTTTTTCCAGACATGATGCATTGCCTTCTCTTTCATTTTTTCAGGGGCTTCAATATTAATTGCTTCCTAGAGTTAACATCAGCCTCAGGAAAGAGTTGCTGCTAAGCAATGTATGTGGAGAGAAGTATCCTCCAACAAGCTCTACATGCTTTTGTGGTTCATTGGTCTTTAGCTGTCTTATATTTCCATTGATTCTGATATTTAGATTCCATTAATTGTATTAATAAATTATGGCACCATTTACGTGCTTCTTTAGTCATTACTTTGAAAATGCATGACCAGAGATTTAAAAGCTGATTTTAAAATTGAGACAAGTGAAAACTGTCCTGTAAATATTGTTTGGACTCTATAACAAAGAGATGCATAAATAGAAAAATACTTTCTAAAACAGCAAATTAGACTTTGTCTTAGGAGAAAGACCAATGAACCTTGGTGATGGGCCAGAATGTAATTTCAATATGCTGCACTTGAACTAACACAAGTTTCTCAGTCTTTATATATATATTTTCTTTTGGTGTAAAACATAGTTTCATGTTTCTTCTTTATGTTTTAATAAACAAGCAATATTTTTCTTTCAGAAAGCTAGATTAAAGCTTTACTGCTTTACTGCTTTACTGTCTCATAGAATACAAATGTGATAGTATTAATGTTTTTTTAATTCTGAGGCTTGCATGTGAGCTTGCAAGGAGACACATTAACAACAAAAGCCCTTAATGAACTCCCCAGGTGGAATAATTCCATTTTCCCTGGATTATTTTTACAACATTTTAGAAGTCCAATAAATAGTTTGTTATTTAAAATAAAAATAAATGCCTCAAATCTGCATTTACATTTGTGGTATTCTTTTGAGGCTTTTATATTCCCCATATCTCTTAAGCCCTAGCATTCAGAAAAGGATGTAACATAAATAAATTAGTCTAGTGATACATAAAATTTTTCATGGCAGGTGCTGCCAACATCTACAATCTCAATCTGCTTGTGCTAAATATTTGTCTAATATATAAATAGAGCAAGGCCTTTATTTAGAAGATGCTGCACTTTATGGGTCAGGAATGATCTATAATGAGTCACAGGGAACAAAATAATATTTTGAATTGAAAGATTTTTTAGACATAAGGATAGCTTAATATTGCTTATTTTTTAGAAATCTACATATATATTTAAATTTAGAATTTATGTATAGTGTATCTCAAATTCGTTCCTGAAATAAAAGATTAATGTATAAGTTTTAATAGCTACCAACATAAAAGTGAGTACATCTATCTTTAGGGTTAAGAAGATATTTGTTGCAATTATTTATTTATTGTATTTACTTATTTTTTATGAACTAGAGGTGCAATAACTACATGGGTAAAAATAGGCCAGGCCTGGTGGCTCATGCCTGTAATCCCAGCACTTTGGGAGGCTGAGGCAGGCAGATTACGAGGTCAGGAGTTCGAGACCAACCTGCCAACATGGTGATACCTTGTTTCCACTAAAAATCCAAAAATTAGTTGGGCATGGTGGCGCATGCCTGTAATCCCAGCTACTCAAGAGGTTGAGGCAGGAGAATAGCTTGAATGTGGGAGGTGGAGGTTGAAGTGGGCCGAGATTGCGCCACTGCACTCCAGCCTAGGTGACAGAGCAAGTCTCCATCTCAGAAAAATATATCTATATCTATATCTGTATATATATCTACTATCTATATCTATCTATCTCTCTATCTTGAAATTTCAGATGATCTGTTACTATTTAAGGATGCTTTCTTTAATGTGACTATGAAGTAATGTAAGTAATCTTTAGGCGGAAATAATGAACAAATATCACAACAAATGTTCTTTGTCTAAAACTATAACTCTTTTGTTATAAAAATTATCATTATTTTCAACTAACAATATATATTTTAATAGGGTACATTTCAGAGGGTAAATGTGCAGGTTTTTTACGTAGAGTTTTTGGTATAGTGGTGGGCTTTGGGTTTCTAGTGTACTCATCACCTGAAAAGTAAACATTGTACCCAATAGGTCATTTTTCAGCTCTCACCTTCTTTCCACCGTCCCCCTTTGGGACTCCCAGTGTCTATTATTCCCATCTGTAAATCCATGTGTACCCATTGTTTAGCTCCTACTTGTAAGTAAAAAAATGTGCTATTTGATTTTATGTTTCTGAGTTACTTCACTTAGGAAAATGGCCTCAGCTCCATCCATGTTGCTGCAAAAAACATGTTTTTGTTTTTTTTTTTATGGCTATGTCCAACTAATTAAAAATTTAAAATTTTAAAAGTATGATGATTTTTTAAAAAGTTAATTTATATATTTCTGATTAATAGGTTCACAGAAACATTAAAAATTATTTTATTCCAATTAACAAAATATTTATGGCACTTCTGGTTTTTTACGAGACATATTTTTGGAGTTTCTAAATTTAGATAAAATGAAGTACTGCACTTCCTGTTTTGCATTCAAAATAAAAATACATTATATATAAACAAGTAAAATAAACGAAATAGTTTATTTAGTAAATAGTAAAAACTTTTGTTGCTCTAATATTGGATGATTTCATTCAACAACTATTTATGGACATTTGCCACAAAACATAAAAAATTTTCTTAAGACTATTAGGTATTTAGGTGCCAGTCTAAGGACAGTTAGTTAAATATGACTGGGTCAATCTTCTGATTTGTGTCTTCTTTCTCTTTCCTCCAAGAGAATCGGATAGAATAAAAGCCAGTTAAGAGATGTCACTAACAGTTCAGAAACATAAGAAAAAATGGTCAGATGAATATATTAGTAAATTGAAAAACATAGGAGAAAGGTGCTAAGAGACTTCACAGTTTTGGAAGTCAGCATTAGCAATAAGGCTATTTTGATATGTTGATTTACCATTACTTCTGGTTACTATTTAGGAAGCAGAGAGACAGTAGGTTAAGAAATAGAGAAATACATTTGTTAGTTCCTCTTTTCTTTTTCTCTCTCCTTCCTTCCTTCTTTCTTCCCTCCCTCCCTCCCTTCTTTCCATCCTTCCTTCCTTCCTTCCTTCCCTCCTTCTTTCCTTCCTTCCTTCCTCCAACTGGTTTTATCATTATTTTGTAAATGACTCTCAGAAGAAGAAAACTTTCTTCCTGGCACAAACGTCAAGTAGATATCTGTCTCACAATGTGCCACACTTCTATTCCCTTTTCTTTCCTTAAGGGGCTCTTGTCTCTCTGTTGTCTAGAATCATTATATTTGTTGCTCCTTTTTACAAAATTCAACAACTTTCAGTCTTTGAAGTAGAATGTTACTGAGGATCCATCATTTGTTTTCTGATCAACAGCAAAACACAGGGAAAGTGCACCCAGCGCAGATTTAAATACAGATTAAAAAAAAAAGATGGGCTACTAAGTAGGCAAAAAAAAAGAAAAAGAAAAAGAAAAAAAAGCTACCTACCACAAAGGGATTGCGCATAGCTGGAGCACACAGTTATAGTTAAATGTCATTAGTCATCCCAAAACAGTGACACCTACCATTAACATCTTTCTTAGAAAAATTATGAAGACTCCAATGCAGTTGACAGGCGTGAAATGACTTGAATTCTTGGATAAGATTTTGAGTGCATCTTTTGTTAATGTACAAATGCCTGTCTCATTAATGGCAGTTGTAAGCTATGCTTTCTGGTTGAAATGGGGCAAGCATTTGTTAACACATAGAATTCAGCAGAAGCAGCGTCTAAACGTACAAGCACTCTGTGCTTCTCTCTCAGAGTGTTATAAGTATATGTGAAAATGATGCTTGGAATTCTCACCCCAGTGATTAGAAATTACCCTTTTACAACAGTAGTAGAAAAAATAATTAAGAGAGATGAAAGAATTGGATGATCAGGAGGGCTTTTTAATTTTTGTTGAAGTAACAAGTAGCCATTGCCCCAGTTACAGCTATTTACTGGCACAAAAGAATGAATAAGCTAGTTTACATGAGGCCAATTAAATGGTATCACCAGGTATATAGAATGTCTGAAAGACATTTATATTCCATTTGGCTGATTTTCATTTTAGACTTTTAAATAATTTATTATTGCCTGCCATTTTATTCTCTTTCTGAGGAAAAAAATCAAGACAAGTAGAACTGACTGGTAATTGTAGATACAATAGCAAACCCCAGCATATACTTTATATTTCCATTTCTGTGTCCAGTGCTGAGGTTACTGGTATAGTCATGATACAGCCATAATAAGGTACTACAAACAACAATCCTTAAGTAACCAGTGCAATTAAAATGTGAGGCAGAGAGTGGTGATGAATCAGAAGGTGAACATCCTGACCAAAGGCAAGGCTGAATATATTGGTATAGATGGTCAGTATACAAGTATCTGGGAATCAAAGCATCCTATTTAGGTCATTTGAAGACATTCCCAGTCTAATTTGAGAATACATAACACAAGACTTGTGTCTCTTCCTGATATTATTCCACTTAGAATTCAATGGAGGGTGTCAACATCATTTATCAAATTAAATGCAAACAGAGAACAGCACTCAGGTATTTGAGGAAGCCATCGATTAGAAAAAGGAAAAGACTTGCACTGTCATTTGCAAAGAACTGGAACTCTTCCAGGATGGCAAGCTGTTCTTAAGACAGCTGGATACACAGAAGACAGTGAAACCGACACTCACATCTTTGATTTCCAGCATGGAGGAGTTCATAAGGAACACCTGCTTCTTCAAGGTGTTATGTTCTTCAAGAGTGGCCCTTTCCACTGAAGGAAGGTGTTGCCATACACTTTGCCAAATGTGCCATAGCTGGAGGAGCATTCCTGCAGCTCTAACACCACAGAGTATCCCATGTTGAACACTGAATAAGTCCAAAAAATAAAGAACAGGAATAATAATGTTTTAGGTTGGTGGAAAAGTAATTGTCATTGCTTTCAGTGGCAAAAACCACAATTACTTTTGCACAAACCTAACAATATCTGTGCATTTTCTGTAGATCTGGGGCTGCTACTGTCTTTGTCTAGGGGTGATGCAGAGCCACTGCTTTCTGCATCATGTGAAGACACAACCTCCAGGGCAGGAAAACGTGGGGCCAAACAGCTCTGAACATGTATTTTTATTATCGAAGATATAAAGCCCAGCTACTGGTTTTATAAACACATTTTCTCTAGATGTATTTATAAACTTTACATAAGGCTATATTCAGTATATATTTAAACCTCATATATGGACCCTTATACCTTGTTCTCTTAGTCATTTTCAGCTGCTATAACAGAATACCATAAACTAGGTGGCTTAAACGATGATTTATTTCCTACAATTCTAGAGGCTGCAAGTCCAACATTTGGGTGCCAGCATGGTTGGGCTCTTGGTAATAGCCCTACTTCTGGCTAACAGATGGCGGCCTTCTCCCTGTATCTTCAAGGGGAGAAGAGAGAGTGCTAGTCTAGGACACAAGTCCCACCATGGCAGCCCAACCCTCATAAACTTCTCTAAACTTAATTGCCTCCCAAAGGTCCCACTTCTTAATATCATCTCATTGAAGTGGGGGTTAGGGCTTCAACATTTGAATTTTGGGGCTACAATCATGTAGTTCATAACACTTACTAAATACAATTATTTTAACTTCCCTTTTCCGAAGTAAAATGTTTTTCTGGAGAGACAGAAAAACAAATGAAATAGGAAAGTAACATCAAGGCAAACAAGGAAGAGCAAAGGACAATGCAAAGAGGAAAGAAATGTAGAAATAAAACATGTTTTTAAAAACTTTGTGAAAATGCTTTCCAATATTTTAAAATAAAGGCTTTGTATGTAGCTCCAAAGTGATGTTGCAAATCTGCCAATAGGTTAAAAAAGGAAATTGTTTGTTTTGCACTCATTATTTTGAAGTTGAAAATGGTCTCTTCTCTGTAGTTTCATGTAACATATTTTTTAAATAACACGAGTTATAAGTAGAATAGTTGAGAGACCTACATGGTTGGAGCAATTGAGGTCAGGAATTTGAGACCAGCCTGGCCAACATGGTGAAACACCATCTGTACTAAAAATATAAAAATTAGCCAGGCACAATGGTGTGTGCCTGTAATCCCAGCTACTCGGGAGGCTGAGACAGGAGAATGGCTTGAACCCGGGAGGCAGAGGTTGCAGTGAGCTGAGATCACACCACTGCACTGCAGCCTGGGTGACAGAGCGGGACTCTGTCTCAAAAAAAAAAAAAAAAAAAAAAAAAATATATATATATATATATATATAAAATAGTTGATAGCTACAATAGAGGAATAGAGGTAAATGGTTATTGTTGTTATAGCTTGCTGATTCCCAAAAATAGTGGAGAAAAGTCTGTAAATATCCAAATTTGTTAAGATCGCTATTCCATATTTTTCCCCAAATGTGTTTGTGCTACCTTGAGGGTAATTACGCAGACAGTGTCTATATTAACTATCAGTATACACACGTTTACACACTGCATATTTCTTGTAACAATTCTGGGTTCAAGCATGGAGGGGTGCAAACAATTAGAATAAGGTTGGGATTGGGCAAGCACACTTTGGAAATAAGTATTTATATGGTAGTTAAGGCAATATTTGCCCTTATAAAATTCTAGTGAGTTAAATAAAAATGATGACCTTGTCTATATATAACTTAAAACCAAAATCAGTAAGCTAAAAGCAAATATTAAGGTTTCTTTTAATTTTTTAACAAGCACAGCAGAATGGCCCAGGCAATAGTATCTTTGAATCATGCACTTTGCTAAGATGATTGATTTAATAAATATAGTACTTGATCACATACCAACAATGTTCAAAGATTTTTATTTTATATATTTATTTTGCTATTGAAACCTTCTATGAAGTTTAAAATCATACCTTGAAACATTTTGTCCTAAAACCAAGATATGATGGAATCATATATTTTAGTTTAAAATGTTTTCATTTTATTCATTCTAAATAAAATTTATCATATATTTAAATTTATATTTATGTGTTTGTGTATTTATATGTATTTATATGTATATATATATATGCACACATATCTACATTTATAAAAGGCAAAAGGGCAAATTGTATAGTGCTTGAAAAAAATGTCTAATACTTTGTAATTTGACTTTGTTAAAACCCTATTCGTAAGTTGTTACTATAATGTGTTTGTATTTGTGGATTTTTGCAAGTTCTGAAGAAAGAAGAAAAAGAAATATATTTAGCTTTTGAACAGAAAGACGCAAAGAAAATTCTAAAATATCTTGTCATATGTTCTAAAAGTAGCTTCCTTTCTCTTGTGAGTTAATCAATCCCTCACTTGAAACCTGGTATTAGCACTAATTCCCAGTGACAGACAAGCTCTCATCTTTGCTGGTTTGGATGCAGTCTTTCTATTAGAAACATCCTCAGGCATGCTGGAAAATCTAGTAAGAGGCACATATTATCTGATTTAAGAATTTTACTACATTAAAGAGAACAATCAATGTATTTTGTCACTGTCTTTTCTTTGTTATGGTGACACTGACACCATTGTTGGACATAATGGTGGAAATATCAATTTTTCTGTTATATCTGTTTTAGCATATCTAACTAGATTTGTTTTATTTTTCATAGAACCAAATCTCAACTAATACATTTGTGTAGTTCTATTTCCATGTCAGCAGCTTCCCCGCAAAAATGAAACAAGTTTCCACGAAAATATTTTGCTTTTTTGTTTTAGTTTTCAATTTTTGAGCCATTAAAATCTAGCAGAATCACAAAATTTAATCAGAAAACTGCAAGTTTATTCAGGCTTAACACATTCTTTTCCTTTGTTTTTCCCAATACACTACAACAGTCAGATCAGCTATCAATTTCTGAAACACATTTTTCCTGTGGGATCAGATGTCTTAGCAAGTGTGTCCAATCTGTCAGCACCTTGAACCTGTTGATATTAAAATCTATATTCCCCAGTTCATTGGTGGTTCTTGAAACATCCTGCTATGTGTGACCTTGCCCTGACATGTGTTATGTCATGAATACTAGACTCTCCTGAAACAATCTTGAGGAAAAGGTACTTAGGTGTGGGAAATTCTATGGAAAAAAAATAATCAAGGTCAAGCCTATCATTCTCTTCCCCAATGCAGCTCAGCTATCCATTGTAAATTCTTTCTTTTCACTCTATTTTTCTTCAGAAAGAATCCTTGATTTCTGTCAGTATCTGTCATAAAATGCTTTACATTTCAAGTTTGTCATATTGTTGCAAAGAAAGAGAGGCAGTACTCAAAAACTTAAGCACAGGATGCACCTGGTATTCATTCTTAAACTCCCTGCAGGCCAACAAGACAGAGCAATAGCTTCATGCTCATTTTGCATAGATCTAGTAACTCCCTAAAGGGCCATAGCATATCTGAGAAGAAGCCTGAGACTGCACATGAAGACATTTCAGAAAATAGCATTAAACAGATCACTTACATTAACCCTCAAATAGATGTAAGTCAGTGAATGAGAGTCATCTTTAAGGCTGCATCAATTTCAATAATTGATCATAGAAAAATTAACATAAGATTAACTTGGCTCTTGGTACCTAAGGAAGTCATGAATATTCTGAGTATTTGAATATGAAAGGTAGGAAAGATTTTACTAACCAGTCCCAGGAATTTTAAATGAAGTTATTTCTTTCTATGTATTTCTCAAATTCCATCAACAATATATATAAATATAATAAACTCTTAGTTGAAAAAACTTTCAGGAAATACATGCCTATATCATGCCTATATCATGAACTTGGATGTAGATTTACTTTTTTTTTTGAGATGGAGTTTCACTCTTGTTGCCCAGGCTGGAGTGCAATGGTGCAATCTCAGTTTACCACAACCTCCGCCTCCCGGAAGCAATTCTTCTGCCTCAGGCTCCCGAGTAACTGGGATTACAGGCATGCACCACCACACCCAGCTAATTTCGTATTTTTAGTAGAGACGAGGTTTCTCCATGTTGGTCAGGCTGGTCTCTAACTCCCGACCTCAGGTGATCCACCCGCTTCGGCCCCCTAAAGTACTGGGATTACAGGTGTGAGCCATCGTGCCTGGCCAGAGTTACCTTTATAAACCCCAAAATAAGAGCTGGATTAAATTTACAGATTCAATTCATAATTTCAGAAAAGTAAGCATATTTTTCAAAACACATTTTTTTTCCCAGAAGATGGCTAAAACTTCAAATTGAAGGACTGAGAAAGTGTTTAATTCACATTTGTGTGTTTTCTATTTTTTATGAAGATGAAGTTTACATAACTTACAACTAACCATTTTAAAGTGTATAATTCAGTGGCGTTTAGGGCATTTGCAATGTTATGTAACCATCATCTCTCTCTCTCTGGTTTCAACATATTTTCACCACCTCAGAACATTCCATACCCGTCAAGAATCACTTTCCATTTCCCACTACCCCCACAGCCTGGCAACCATTAATCATCTTTCTGACTCTAGGGTTTTGCTTATTCTGGATATTTTGTATAAAAGCAATCATAATTTAATGTGACATTTTGTGTCTGGTTTCTTTCACTTAGTGTAATGCTTTCAAAGTCCATCCAAGTTGTAACGTGTATCAGTAATTCCTTCTGTTTTATGTTGGAATAATATTCTATTATATAGCAAATGTATTGATTATGTACCAAAATTTGTCTTTTCATTTAAACATTGATGAATATTTAGGTTGTTTCTACCTTTTGATTATTATGAATGATGCTCCTATAAACACTCATGTACCAATAACTATGTGAGCATATGTTTTCATTCCTCTTGGGTATATACCTAGGAGTGGAATTGTTGGAGTAAATGAAAATTCTATTTTTAACTACTTTTTACACTGTATTTCCTTGTTTATTTATCTACTCATCAAAACTTAGGTCAACTAATATCTTAGCTATTGTGAATAATAGTACAATGAATATGAGAGAGTAGATAACACGTTGATATATTTATATCATATCCTTTGGATATACCCAGTAAGTATAATTTCTGAATCATATGGTAGTTTTATTTTTACTTTTTTGAGGAATCCCCATATAGCTTTCAATAATGGCTGGATTATTTTACATTCCCATAAAAAATGTGCAAGAGTTCCCTTTTCTTCACATCCTCACCCACACTTGTTCTTTTTGATAATAGCCATTCTAAAAGGTGTGATGTGATAGCTCATTGTTTTAATTTGCACCTCCTTGATGTTTAGTACTGCTGAGCATGTTTTCATATACTTGTTGGCCATTTGTATGTCTTTTGAGAAATGTCTATACAGGTCAATTGCCCAGTTTTTAATCCATTTTTTTCCTTACTATTGTTTGTATTTGTTGTATAATATCAACATTAAGTTCTTATCAGATGCATGGTGTGAATATACATTCTGTTATCCTTTAGGTTTTCTCTTCATTTTGTTTATTGTTTCCTTTGCTGTACAGAAGCTTTTTAGTTTTATGTAATTCTATTCGCTCATTTTGTTTTCTTTTGTTGTCTGTTTCTTTTGCCAATTTTAAAATTAAGTTGTTTGCTTTTGTGTTGTTCAGTTGTAAGAGTTCTTTATATATTCTGGATTCTAAACTCTTATTAGATTTATGGTAACTACTTTTCCCATTCTGTAGGTTTTCTTCTTACCTATTTAATAATGTCCTTTGATGCACAAAAGTGCTTTTTAAAATGTTATAGCATCTAATTTATTTTTATTATTATTTTATTATGGTAAGCACACAACATGAGATCCACTTTTTAACAAATTTTAAGTGCACAATACAGTGTACATAGGCACTATGTTGTACAGTTCTTTAGAACTTACTCATTTTGCATAACTGAAAGCCTATGCCCATTTAATAATAACTCCACTCCACATTTCCCCTTTTCCCCAGCCTGACAACTACTGCTCTACTGTCTACTTTTATGAGTTTACTGTTCTAGATACCTCATAAAAGTGGAATCATATGGCATCTGTTCTTCTGTGACTGGTTTATCTTACATAGCACAATGTTCCCCAGGTTCATTTATATTGCTGTACATGGCAGTATCCATTTCTTCTTAAGCTGAATACTATTCCATTATGTGTATATAACACATACTGTCTATCCAGTCTTCTGTCAATAGATATTTAGGTTGCCTCCATATCTTAGCTATTGTGAATAATGTTGCAATAAATATGGGAGTGCAGCTATGTTATCTTTTGTTCTTATATTGATCATGTTTTGGGTAACACAACTAAAAATATATTGTAATGGCATATTTTCTACATGTTTTCTTCTGTTGTTTTATAATATTAGCTTTTATATTTAGGCTGCTAATCCATTTTGAGTTAATTTTTGCCTATGTAGGGAGTTAGGGTGTGGGTTTTTAAATACATGTCATTTATGTTTAGGAATCCCCCTTCTATTCCTAGATTGCTGAGGGTATTTAATAATAAAAGTGTGTCATATTTTGTTAAATGCTTTTTCTTTGTCTATTTTTATGGTCATTATTTTCTTTAGTCTGTTCATATGGTATATCACATTAATTGGCTCTTAGATGCTGAACTACTCTTTCATTCCTGTCATAAATCCAACTAAGTCATGTTGATACTTTCTATTTATTTCTTTCAGTAAATGGCCCATACTTTTCTGTTTCTTTGTATGCTTCATACATTTTCTTGCTGGGAATTAGACCTTAAGTAGCATATAACTGGTAAACCTGGCAATTAGATGTTCTCCCCACCCAGGGTTGCTTTTGTTACTTACTAAGGGATTCAGCTGTTTGTTTAGTGAGTTAAAATTGTTTTAGCAAAGACTGTATTTTTCATAAGGTGTAGTGACTAAAATCTTTAGTCAGTTATCTCTGTGGTCATGCAGGGATCTCATAAAGATTTTCTTGAATTCTTGGATTTGAAAAAAAAAACAGAAACAAACAAAAATGTGCTCTGTCTTTTTAAATTATTTCAACAGATGCTGCCTAAGAATCCATTTTGACTTCACGGGGATGAAACATTGGCTTGCCTCTGCATCAGTCCATCAGTGAACCACTTGGAAGATCAAAGACCCAACTTTAATTTTTTGAGGTCAAGGTTCTTATTGCCCACCTTGGTACCAGCAAGCCAGAACAAAACCACATGCAACACAGGCTCCTGTCTCACCACTGCCTGCTACTGGAGCTGAGGTTGGTAGTTGCTGTGCAGAACACCAAAACATAACAAAATGTACCAGCTGCTTTCTTCATCAAGCCCTCCCTGGATGCAAGTATATTTATTAATGGATTTCCAAAGTAGTTGATTTTGACAGATCTTGTTAGATACATAGATACTTTGATGGAGAAACTGATTCCTAGAGCTTTCTACTCCATGAATTCCCACTCTTCACCTAATTCGTGTTTTATGGAATTTAAAATATTATTGTAGTTGGGTAACAACTTAAAAATAATCTGGGTTTTTCTTTGTGTGCTGGGATGGATAGATGGAATTTTAATATTTTGGTATAGAATGTGAAGAAATAGGAACCCTTTTACACTCTTGGTGGGAGTGTAAATTAGTTCAACCATTGTGGAAGATAGTATGGCGATTCCTCAAGGATCAAGAACCAGAAATACCATTTGACCCAGCAATCCCTTTACTGGATATATACCCAGAGGATTATAAATTATTCTACTATAAAGACACATGCACATGTATGTTTATTGCAGCAATATTCACAATAGCAGATACTTGGAACCAACCCAAATGCCCATCAATGTTAGACTGGATGAAGAAAATGTGGCACATATACACCATGGAATACTATGCAGCCATAAAAAAGATGAGACCATATCCTTTGCAGAGACATGGATGAAGCTGGAAATCATAATTCTCAGCAAACTATCACAAGAACAGAAAACCAAAAACCACATGTTCTCACTCATAAGTGGGAGTTGAACAATGAGAACACATGGACACAGGGAGGGGAAGATCACACACTGGGGCCTGCTGTGGGGTGGGGGCAAAGGGAGGGATAGCATTAGGAGAGATACCTAATGTAGATGATGGGTTGATGGGTGCAGCAAACCACCATGGCACACGTGTACCTGTGTAACAAACCTGCACGTTCTGCACATATACCCCAGAACTTAAAGCAAACCACCATGGCATGTGTATACCTGTGTAACAAAACTGCACATTCTGCACATGTACCCCAGAACTTAAAGTATAATAAAAAAAATTAGCTGGGCATGGTGGTGTCCGCTTTTGGTTCCAGGTACTCAAGAGGCTGAGATGGAAGGATCACCTGAAAAAACAATTATATTCAAAACAAAAATTTTTGTATAAAATTACATCAACAACCTTTTTAGGCCAATGGTTAGAACCACATTGGCATAGAACATCAAAAGATTGGTAACATCATAAGTGAAAACATTTTATAATGGAAATTTATAGAAATTTGTGGGCACAGAAGAGATAAAATAAAATAGGATGTAGTATGGCAAAAAAAATATAAAGGAATTCTGTAAAAATTGTGTCCATTTTTAAATTTTAATTATCTCAGATTCTAGCAAAGCAAATCTTTTCCCTATTCCTTCACACATATAATGAGTACAAATGTATTTTCTAAATTGAGTGTGTGTATGTGTCTGTGTGTGTGTCTGGAGATGGGTGTAGTAGTGAGGAGATTAAAGGTATTTTCTGAATTCTAGGTGAAGAGTGAAGAAAACAAGCAGGATGTAGAAAACGTGAAATGATTCAAAACTTACACTAACTCAGTTCAAGCAGGCACTCAAAGTCATAGAAGATCATGAGATGCTAGGTATGTTGAGAATCTTTTACAATCTTACATAGGGCATAGATCTTGATACAGCATAGCCTGAGATTTAAGACCAGTTACTGAGCAAGAAGATCTAGTTAACAGTTTAATCAAATATAATTTGTGCAGAGGATCTCCAATCATGCAATACAAACATATAAGTTAAAAAATATATTAGCTTTGATTGTGGCCAAAATTTACAGTTTAATTTTATTTGACATGAACCCAAATAAGTTTTTACCTAGTCTGAATGCTTCCAATGTTTTGATTTTTGTATAATTAATCATTTTTTTCAGGTTGTTATAAATTACTTTTGTTTTTGGTCTATAGAATTGGCTTACAGGATCTTTCAACAAGCCACATTCAAAAGCTCTTAAGATGTAGTTAATAGTACCTACATTGTCTAGTTTCTGTATTATTTCCTTATCCCTAGGAATAGGAATCACCTTCTGTTCAGGGATTTTGGACCCTATCAAAGAGAAATATTGAAAAGATATAAATTCCTGGCACAGAGATAACTCTGGAAGTTTACTTCTTCCAATTCCCATATGCAAAATCAAAATAAAGCAAAACAAAACCAGC